>NC_000003.12:86070606-86373636 GCF_000001405.40 Homo sapiens | reverse complement strand
TATAGATATGAAAAAGGAAATAAATATGGGGAAGAGAAACTAATGAAAGTGATTAAAAATGAAGTAGGTGGAGAAAGCAAAATTGGAGCTTAGTTTAGCTACAGGGCCAAGATTATGAAACAATAAACTGGATTCTTCCCTAAGTGTAATTTTTTTCTTGCAGATGGTACTCATTCTAATCTCTCATGCCACTGTCAATCATACCTCAGGTTCTTACCTTAGAAATAGTGCTTAGCACTGAGAAAGAGGAATATCCAATAGGGAATAAATATCTCTTCTTGAGATAGACAGGGGATAGTTGGTTTAGATTACTTGGCAATTTTTATAGAGTTGATCATTAAAGAATTATTTTCAGCTCATGTCAAAATGCCTCATGTTTCTAAACTAGAAATGATGGGTATAATCTCAGATTCCATGCCCTCCTCTTTCCTCTCTCTTAATAAATAACCTAACCCTTTTTATCGTACCTCCTAAATTGTCCTAAAATCTATTCTGTTCTCCCCGTCCTCACACTATCCTATTTTTCTTTCACATTACCCTTCTTCCTAGTTGGTTCTGTATTTTTGTGCTTGTCTCTTTCTAAATCATTTCCTAGATGTCCATAAGTGTATGCTTTCCAAAATGCACACCAGATCATGCCTAGTTTTTTTGTAAACACACTTGATAACATTTTCATTTCTGAATGAACAGTATATTTTTGTATAAGTCTCTGCTTAGCTGTCCAGATTCATCTTTTCCCACTTTCTAGTTCACACTTCATAATCCAACTGTGTCAAACTCCACAGGTTGTTCAATGCACCTTGTACTCTCTTGCCTATGGGCTTTTAGTTATTTATTGATATTGAAATAATTTTAGAGTTACAAAATAGTTGTCAAAGTAGTACAGATTTCCTTTATATAGTTCACTCGGCTTCCCATAATGCTAACAACTTGCATAATCATTACACAATCACCAAAACTCTGAAATTAACACTGGTGCAACACTATTCTTTATTTTTTACATTACTATGAATTCATAGATGTTTATTTTCTTCTATGGGTTATAATCAGTACTGTTTTATTATGTGTGGTTCAAATTCTTGAGCAGTTATTGAGCTTTGGCCATTGGCAACTTACAAATGGGTTCCTTTGTCTTTTCTACATAACCCCTCCTATTTTTAATTCTCCTTTTCTTTCTGACACTCAAAATGTTGTAGGCTTATGTGTACTTCTTCAATAATTTCTATAAATTATTTATATATATTGTATATTATAATTATTATTATAATATATATTATTATATATTGTATATAATATATTCTATATTATAATATATAATATAGAATATTCAATAATTTCTATAAATCAATAATTTCTCCAGTCTGATCTTGTTTGTTTCATTGAGGTTGGCAGTTGGAAACTAAGATCTGAGTGCTAGGTATGCACTTTGTTACAATAATATTGCTTCCAGCCTCTCTCATTAGATAGGCATGCAAAATATATGTGTTGGAACCTACTATCCATATAAAGTAGTTTCAAAATTGGTAACCCATACCCTGTGAGTAAAAAATTTACTAAGTAGAGTATAATGTTTATGTACATTTTTTGTCTTTAGCTTTATAATATCCAGTCAAATTACTATTTTCTAAACATAGGCTAGTAATTTTCTTTCCTATTTCCTTCACTGTTATGCAGGTAACACAATTAGGCTCATCCGTTAAAGTTTGTATTCGATTTAGGATATTCTCGCATCTTGTTTTCATTTTTATTTACATACAGTAAAACATATGCTTTGTGGTGCAAAGTTCTATTGATTTTGATAAATACATAGAGTTGTGTATTTACCAGCATTGCTGTGAATAAAAACATCTTCATCACTCCCAAAATTGTCGTGAATTACTCCTTTTCAGTCAATTTATCCCCAACCATCCCTAATGTTTACAAAGCACTGGCCTATCTTTCATCTTTATAATTTTATATTTTCCAGAATATCATATAAATAGAATCATACAATATATAATCCTCTGGTTCTGGTCAAAGCTTTCAAAATACACTTAAGATTCATCCATGTTGTTACATGAATTAATAGCATTTTCCATTTTATTGCAGAGTAGAATTAATTTGGTGAGTGTACCACAGTTTATCCACTCACCTATTGATGACATCTGGGTTGTTTACAGTTTGGGTGATTATGAATAAATTGGTTATAACTATTAATGCACAGGTATTTATGTTAATATACATCATCATTTTTCTTAAATAAATAGCTAGAAGTGGCACTGCAGGATACTATAGTATCTATTTAACTTCCTAAGAAATAGCCTCTTATTCATAAAGGCCATACGTTTTGCATTTGCAATAGTGAGGTATGAGAGCAATAGTTGCTCCTCATCCTCTCCAGAACTTGGTAGTGTCAATATGTTTTCATTTTAACCATTGATTATGTGAATAGTCATACTTCAATGTGATTTGATTTGCATTCTTTAATGAATAATGCTGCTAAGCTTCTTTTCCTGTTTATTTGTTATCCATATATTTTCTTTGGTGAAGTTCCTATTTAAATCTTTTGCCCATTTTTCAACGGATTTTCTGTGTGTGTGTGTGTTGCTGAGTTTTCAGAATTATTTGTAAATCCTGGAAATATAAACTTTGTCAGAAATGTGATTTGCAAGTATTTTCTCCCAGTATTTGGCTTGTCTTTTTATTCTCTTAAAAGTATCTAATTGTAACTTCCAGTTCCCTGGTCCCTATCTCTATCTAGTTTGTAAATTCATTGGTATTAGACAATAGATTATAAAAATCAGTGGAGGCTGGAACGTATAATTTTCCCAGTATACTCTTCCTTCACAGTAACATTTAATATAAAATGTAACTGAAGGCCGGTGCGGTGTCTCAAGACTGTAGTCCCAGTACTTTGGGAGGCCGAGGCAGGCGGATCACCTGAGGTCAGGAGTTCAAGACCAGCCTGATCCACAAGGAGAAACCTCATCTCTACTAAAAATACAAAATTAGCTAGGCGTGGTGCATGCCTGTAATCCCAGCTACTTGGGAGGCTGAGGCAGGATAATCGCTTGAACCCGGGAGGCGGAGGTTGCGGCTAGCTGAGATTGCACCATTGCACTTCAGCCTGGGCAACAAGAGCAAAACTCCATCTCGAAAGAAAAAAAAAAATGTGTTTGAAAATTTTCAGAGATGGAAAACAACAGTGGAAAGAGAAGGAAGGGTAATCTAGATACACTCTTGTTTTGGGAAAGTAATTAACACTACTAGGAAATTTTAAGTGGGTTATAAAATTATTGTCACTGCTATCAGTAGAGAGCCCTTTGCTAAATCCTAACATAAATCCTAAATAAACTTTGTGTTTCCCCCAGCTTTTTATAAATATTATAAAATATTCAAGTAGATGAATGGATGTTTAGGAAAAATATAGATGGACTTCAAATGAAGGGAAGACAGATCCTCGTGTGTAAGTAATAATTGTAGAGAGCGTTAGCAAACCATAGGCTGACAGGCTAAACAGCTTACCTGGCCCAAGATGAACAGACAACAGGCAGCTTCCCAACACACTAAAGTATATTTCCTTAGGGAATATATTTAATTATAGTGCTAGTAAAATCAATGGATATTCAAGTTATTTCCCCAAAGAATTCAACATTTATTCAACATTTACACAATAAGAATTGAGAAATCCTTTACTGCCTGATGCTCTGAGCCACAGTTAATTGCAGTTGAACCTTCTTAATTTCTAATATATATTTTAATTATAATCATGAAAATGTACCTACACTTTTTAACGTATCAGTGCTAAACTCATAAAGTTGCAGCCTCTTTCTAGCATTGTATTGTAGCTACATTCTCATTTGGCTACAAATAACCAATAAATGCAAACCTTAAACTTAACTTCCTCCTCTTTTTGCAGTATATCACATCCCAAAAAGATTATCCACAGGATTGAGGCTGTAAAGTAGAAAAAAAAAAAAAAAGAAAAGAAAAAGAAAAAGAGAGGAAAGAGAGAGAGTAAGAGAGAAAGAGAGCAGAGGAAAAAAAAGATAAGTAGTTTACATGTAGGTTTAAGACTTGGCACTTGGCACTTTCCAATAATATCCACTTGTCTAAAATAACATAGAAAGCATGCACTTGTAATCTTTAATTACCTGGCAAACTGAAACTATTATAGATTTATACAGAATCAGAATTGTCAGAATACAAACATTTTAATGTTGTAAAATAGCCCTTAACTGGATAGGTAAATACACACCTCTTGAATAAATGTTGTTATTCTTATCTCTATCTCTATCTTTTTGTGCAGTCTTTCTCTTTGCATCTGTACACACAGCTGCACACAGGCAGCAGTACATCATAGTGGTTCAAAGAAAGGGATTTAGAGTTAGACTGCCTAGTTAGATGCCTTACTGTACTTAATAGATTTGTGGCTTTGAAGAGTTTCCAAGATTTATTTAAGACTCAGTTTGTTCATTCAATGACTAGAGGGTAATACTAGCATGTCCTGTAAGGGATTGTTCTCAAAATTAAATAAAATAATTTATGTAAACAATAGACATAGTGGCTAATACATAGTGAATACTTAAACATTAGCTGCAATAATAATAATCATATATATCATTAAAAGTCAGACTTGCACTATTTGAAGCTTCTCAGCAAGCATGAAACAAATCATCACTTTTATCTGTAAGAGAATAAATTTCTATTCCTAATAATTGAGTAAGGACATAAAGATGCCCTTTCTTTTGTAATGGGCTCACCTCCTGTAGAAAATCCAAATAGAGCTCTTCATTAGTGTATATTTATTTCTGTTTCCCACTCCAAAATGCTCATGCTTAAGTGTTACCACAGAGCAACATCAATGGATAACAATGCCCAACGGTGACCTCAAGAGAAAAGCTTTGAATCACTTAATTCCTGGTTTTACTGGTCTTCTACTACTGGTGGGAGACTTGTGTTATGAGACAAGGACATTTATTATGAGGCAAGAACAAACTTTGTAAACTGACAGACTTTTATTTGAACATTAGGCCTGCACTTACACCAACTATTACCTGAATAAATCTGAAAAAAAAATTAATCATTCTCTGTGTAAGTGTTTTTCTTCTGCAAAGCTAGGTTAATAACTTCTAACTCACAGGGTTATTGTAAGGATAAATGATTAATAAGAACTGGGCCTGGTTCATAATAGGACCTTAATAAATGGCAGCTATTATCATTTTCATTCTCTTTTACTTAGAAATAAATATAAACCAAGAAGAATTAGTGAGGATTATATTTTGCTACCTTAATTTATTTAGAATGCATACAACTGTCATTTAAAAGAAGAGTGTTTAGAAATTCCTTAAAAATTACTTGTGGAATTTCCTTTAAAAATATAGCTAAATAGGTTCCATATTTTTTCCGAATGGTTTATTATGGGAAATAGAAATGTAAGTAAGGTTTTCGGCCCGTCTTCAGTTATCATTGTTAATGTTGCTTCAGTCTCTTTAAATGACCTCAACTCCAAACCACAAAAGTCTTATATTTGACTTAGTACAGGATCAATTCAAAATGATTTTTTAAATTGTGAAATATTTTAGGCATATAAAAGAAGAGTAGTCATAAAATAAATGCTCTTTACCGAGCAACTAAGCTTAATCGATAAAGTGTTACATATTCAATGGAGGCCCTGGACATTTCTCACAGGTGCCATTGCCTTCCCTGTTCTCCTCCCTACCACCAACACGTGCCCTCTAAATTACTACCATCCTGAATTTTAGGTAGCAGTCATAGCGTTCAACCCCAAATTATAGGGACTTTATTGACTCATAAGAAATGCTCATTTTTATTTCTGCAATTAAGCTTTAAAAAAGGTATAATGATTATAAACCTGAGAAATTTTTCCACACTGCTTTCTGGGTTTTAATTTCTCATTTATAAAGCAAATAACAGCATGAATCCCTACCTTTGCTAACAGCACCACAGCATTAGAAAGCATCAAGGTCAATTCTGAATCATTAAGATAAATTTGTATGCCTATCCGTTTAAAAAATGAAATGGCATGCTAAATAATCTATTCAAACGCAAAAGAAACATTATATACAAGGCACCATGCTAAGACTGTAAACATAAAAATGAGTAAGACTTGATCCCTGTGTTATATTTTGGGATAGATTGTGAAATAACTGTTCCCATCCTTTTGCTAAATATATTATGTAAAGATCTTGGTTTATATTCATGTATGATGTTTTAAATGTTTGCCACTCTCAGCAAATTAGTAGTGACCTTGCATAGATCTATACCAACTCTTGAAAGCTTAATGTCGTTTCTAACCTTCAAAGAATATTCTCATTGTTAAAATATGCTTTTTTAAAGTGGAAAAACTTTTAAATCCCCTCTAGCAAAAAGAGTGAAAATGCCATTTCTGACAAAAAACATTTTTTCTACATACAGGGCAAAATATTCTGTCATAATTATCAGGAACAATTAATATATTTTAGATTGTGTTAATGCTTTGGTTTTATTCAGATGGCATCATGTTCAGAGAATGCAGGTATAATGGGGGATATCAAGACATGTACGTAGACTGCAGTTAGTTGTCTCTGAGTGGCTAGAAAACTTTTGCAACCAAAAGCTGTGAGACTCAAGAAAAAACAAGAACATTTTGAATAAAGTGAAGTAAAACTGTTCATTGCTGTTCAGAAACGTCTCCTGAAACCAGACAGACCGTTTCCGTACCATGGAACATCTGCCCAGTTGTATCAGGGAATACAATAAAACTAGAATAGCAAAGAAGATAAGCAAAGTGTCAAGGAAACCCATACTGGGGAACAGGATATTTTACCTTCTACATCTCAGTGGTAAACAGAAGACCATTTTTATCTTTTATTAACTCATAACATACTCTTTTGTGGATACAAGTACAGTATTGTAATCCCTCAATCCATTCTATCTTATCGGTGTCCAAACATAAACACAAGTCTGAGATTCATGAGCTTCACAAAGTAAATAACAGATAAATGATCGTTCCAGATTCAAAGATTTTGTACCAGTGTGCACCTGACAGACATGGCTCATTTCACATGAGATATCCAAAGTACTTGAGATGAGAAGCAGAACTAGTTCTATTCTATTTTACTAACTTATAAGTATATTTTATCAATGATTTTCAATAAGGGTAAAGGTGTTCATCATAATCACCTGGGAAAGTTATTTCTTCAAAATCTCAATTCTGAGATAATACATTAGAGATTCGGGTTTAATGTCTGGAGTAGGGTGTGGGCACACATACTTGGGTAAAGAACTATGCTTTGGTGTAATTGGTATTTGTTTGTCGTGTCCACCAACATCCTAATAAACCACTTATCAGCCCATCCCCTGACTTCAGTTATAGCTCTAAGTCCTCAAATACTGTTGCACCTGACCCCTTTATGATCTTAGTTTATTGGACTGGACCTAAGAGATGCAGTCAGAGTTTTTTCCCCCAAAAAGTGATTTAAGGATTATATATTTTTTAAAAAAGTAAATAAAGCACTGGGAACAGTGTAGTATGTGGCTTCTAGTTATTTCTTATGTGGATTAAAGAAGCAGAGAAAGTCAGTGTGTAGAGAAGAGTGAAACAGGTACATGAGGGCAAATAAAGATGAAAGACAGCAGCAATTTTTAACTTTTCAGTTACATTGCTATTGAAAGACCCAGGTGATTTTCTGTCCTAGGCTTCCATGATGTGTCTCTGTTTCATAATACATTTATGCTTTCTGCTTAAGATATTTCAAGTTAGTTCCTTCTATATCCAACCAAAATTCTTAATTTAAACATGTAACTTGCCCCAGTCTTTGAAATAATGAATATGTAACATGATGGGCAACTCATGGTTAGGATTATTCTTTGAAGATTAAAAAAATAGCCATTCCTTGCCACATCTAAGTAGGGACCTCTTGCTTACCCCTTCTCCTTCATGTTTGAATTATTAGCCTTAAGCTAGTAACTCATTTTAAGACTTGGATGAGAATAATTTGTCTCCATGGAATAAACAGTAATAAAATACACAGCAAGTTAAATTTTCCTACTGTGTTAGGCTATTCTTGCATTGCTATAAAGAAATACCGGAGGCTCAGTAATTTATGAAGAAAAGAGGTTTAACTGGCTCATAGTTCGACAAGCTGTACAGGAAGCAGGGCACTAGTGTCTACCTGACTTCTGAGGAGGCCTCAGGGAGCTTTTACTTATGGAGGAAGGCAAAGCAGGGGCAGGGGACAGGCAGCAGGCACATCACATGGCCAGAGAGAGACAGCATGAGGTGGTGGGGGTGGGGTGGAAGGTGCCACACATTTTTAAATGACCAGATCTTATGTGAACTCACAGCAAGAACTCACTTATTACCACCACAGGGATAACACTAAGCCATTCATGAGGGATCTAGTCCAATGATCCAAACACCTCCCACGAAGCCCCACCAATAACTGTGGGGATTACGTTTCAACATGAGATTTGGGTGCGGACAAATATCCAAGCTATACTACTAGCCAATGCAGAAGTTTTCCTTATGATTTTCTCTGAAAGGTGGTCAGCTTTTGAACACTTCTAGTGATTGAGATCCCTTAAGTCTATGAAGCAGTCCATTGCGTTATTATTAGATAGTGGGGATATTTGAATTTTTCTTTTATATTAAATAAAATTTTTCTTCTGAAAAACTTTACAGAGTTCTTATTATCAAGGTCCTGTTTTCAGAAGCGTTGCCAAAAAAAAAAAATCAAAGGATCAGAATAGTTATTATGAGCAATGTGACATGAATGGTCCAATGGTTGGTGGGACATAAAACTAAGTGGCGAAGTGTTATGAATTAAAATGAAAGCGAAAACAACACAGCTACCATGACATTGAAGACCATGTTCCAACTGTTCTTCTCCTTGTCCTGGTCCTCATTTGGCATTGCTATTGGATAATAAATGTAACTTTCTGAGTTTCTGCATCTTAAAACAAACTATCTGAAGAAAAATCTGTAAGAGTTCCTTCCAACTCTGATATCCAATGGGTAAATAAAAAAGTGTATGACAAATACCTAATATAGACACTGTAATAATCAATAAGGCATGCACTGCTCATGAACAGCAAGCAGAGACGAGCACTTCAGTGCAGTACTTCATCACCTGCTGAGCCTTGACCCCTCTGCTCTTCCTGTGACTCAGGATGCACAGCTAACAGAGTTTCAGCGTGCCATCTGTCGCTTCACATTGGCATCTGTAGCTTGAGAACTGTGTTATAGCCAAAGATCCATCAATTGATGTATCAGTCCTTCCATTCTTAAAGTCATACGGTTTTAAAAGGAATGCCTTTGCCTTTATCTACAGTTTACTTTTGATAAATCATAACTCAGTGGTTGGCAATGAAGTAGAAAAGTAAGTGAGTAGTAAATCACTGATACTGACTGTGACTTTTACCATTCAAGTGAAGATGACCATTCAGTTGGACCTGAGGGTTTGTGAAGTAGAAAAAGCCCATTGAGTGTTTCATTAGCACCACTCCATCCTTCTCTGTGTGATTCTCTTCCTATTCTTCCATATCCTTTCTCCCTTATCCAGTCTATTGTACCAGTACCCTTCAATGCTGTACTGTTCTACCATTCTGGCCTACCTTTCCACGTTCAAGACCCTTTCTCCTTCATTCAAACTCTTTTGCCCTGTTTCCCACATCATTTTATCCTTGCTAAGTAGCTGGTAATTTACTGAAATAATTCTTTTGGGCTAGGCTATCAATGACTAATAAAGAATTTAGGCCAGGTGTAATCCTAGCATTTTGGGAGGCCGAGGTGGGCAGATCACTTGAGGTCAGGAGTTTCAGACCAGCTTGGCCAACATGGTGTATACAAATACACCATGGTGAAATACATGGTGTATATGTACTTAAAAAAAAAATTAGCTGGGCCTGGTGGTGGTGCCTGTAATCCCAGCTACTGGGGAGGCTGAGGAAGGAGAATTGCTTGAACCTGGGAGGCAGAGGTTGCAGCAAGCCAAGGTCGTGCCACTGCACTCCAGCCAGGGTGACAGAGTGAGACTCTGTCTCAAAAAAAAAAAAAAAAAAAAAAAAAAAAGAATTTCACGTGTTATGACTTAAAGCTAGAAAATGTTTATTTGGTCCCTACTATGTGCCAGAAACTACATCTTAATGAATGGTTTAGAAATTTATAACTATGTGGCCAGGCATGGTGACTCACCCCTATAATTCTAGCACTTTGGGAGACTGAGGCAGGCGGATCACCTGAGGTCAGGAGTTTGAGACCAGCCTGGCCAAGATGGCAAAACCCCATCTCTACTAAAAAAAAAAAAAAAAAAAGATCTGGGCATGATGGTGCACACCTGTAATCCCAGCTACTCAGGAGGCTGAGACAGGAAAATTGCTTGAACACAGGAGGTGGAAGTTGCAGTGAGCTGAGATTGTGCCACTGCCCTCCAGCCTTAGTGATAGATCAAGACTCTGTCTCAAAAAAATAATTATCTTAGTTATCTTAATCAAAAGAGGTAAAAACTAAGCAAACATCTAAAATAAAGTACATTGAGTGCTGCAATTAATATGTAAACAGTATACTTTGAAAGCATAATGAGAAAATTTGACTCAACAAGGAAACAAGGGATAGAAGGAAATATCTCAGGAGTCTATAAGGAAGGAAACTGTTGTTTTTCTCCTCCTCCAAGACAGTAAGAATGAGTCAAGAGACAAGGTAGAATGTCTGCGAGTAAGAAAAGGGTATATGCAAAGCACTGAGGTGAGGAAGAGGATACTGGGTAACTTAGGACATATAAACGGAAGAATAACAAGAGAAAGAGCCAGGAGTAATTATGTTTATAAATCATCTTACATAGCAACATTAAGACATTTGAACACTATAATAATTTGCATATGAGTAACGAGAGATGATTAGACTGGTTTACATGTTTGCAACATCAATCTGACAATAGTGTAGAAAATGAGTAGGAAGCAAGGAGGAAGGAAGCAAACTACAGAGAGAGAAAATATTTTAAAATCCACTGAAATGACTTAGGCCAAAACTCACCAATGGAAATAAGAATATAAAGGAAACAAATTTCCCAGATGTTTCTTACTATAAGAATTGACAGGTGTAATGATCCTGGGGGTGATGGTGGAGAGGCAAGGTCAGAGAGCCAAGTAGTTCTGAGAGAAAATAATTGGAGATGACACAGAAGGATCTGACTTGGACAGCTTGGATAGTTGGTGGATGCTGTGGTTTTAATATCCCCAGATTTCATGTGTTGGAAACTTATGGACCTTGAGAGTTTGCTTGGAGGTTGTAGCAGGGGAGTACAGCTGTTTATATACCCTTGACCAAAGAAGGTCCTCCTCTATCAAGGAAGGTCATCTTCTATCAGGGAAGGTCATCCTCTTTAACTGAGCGCACAGCTTCTGGAGGAATGAACATGGAGCAGTGAGTGAGGGAAGGGACACCTGCCTAGCCAGCCACATTGGCCAATTCAATCATGATGATTGATCAGGTGACGATGTCATAGCCAGACCACCCTCATATCCATTGGTAATGTAATCCCCAACATGGTCTTTAAAAAGTGATTTGATCATGAGGGGTCTGCCCTCATAAATGGATTAATTTATTCATGGATTCCTGCATTAATAGATCAATAAGTTAATTTGGAAGTGAAACTGGTTCCTTTTAATAAAAAGCTAAGAACAAAAAGCCAGAGAATGAAAAAAAAAATAAGATAACATGCTGTAGTAATCAAAGAAAGAGATTAGTTCAAGAATATAGGCAAAAACTTTAATTCTTAAAAACAGGTAGGATGATGTTTGAAGTGAAAAGACAACTTGGAAGAACACTAATGACTTAAATGAAAAAGCTAGTTTTAACAGATTTTAGAAACTCAAATGTGACAAGACAATTGAGTAGAGTAATAAATTTCATTGCATTGAAAACTGAATGGGGATAAGTAAATGGAAATACAAGTACAGATAAGTACATAGCTGCTTATATTTATACCTTCAGTCTTAAAGTACAGTATAGTACAAAAAAGAGGAGTTAAACATTTTTCAGTTAATAAATAAATAAATATAAACAATTAAGGTTGTTTGGTAATAACTTAGTTAAAAAAAATCACTTACCTGCTCTATGGAGAATAGACTATGAGAGGGAAAATGTCCATAGGAGGACAGGGGGTATTCATTTTCTATTGCTACATAACAATATTACCACGAAATTAGTGACTAATTACATATATATATATTATTTCATAGTTCATGTAAAAATAGAAAAAAAAGGAAACAATTTCCCCCAGATATTTCTTGCTACAGGAATTGATGGGTGTAATGATCCTAGGAGTGAGAGTGGGGAGGCAGGGTCAGAAAGCCAACTGGTTCTGAGAGAAAACAATTGAGGATGACATGATTTATGTGAGGCAAGTGCCAGAGTATAGCATAACTGGGTCCTCTGCATGCAAGTTCTTATAAGGCTGCAGTCAGGTTTCTGCACTAGGCTTTGGTACCACTGAGTCTCCACTTGGAAAGGATCTGCTTTCAAGCTGATGTGGTTATGGGCAGCACTTAATTTTTTGTGGAATTTTGGACTGAGGGCCTCAATATCTTACTGGCTATTGGCTGTAGTCCATCCTCAATACCCTTCTATATAAGCTTTTCCTTCATACCCGAAAGTATTGTACGTTAAAATCACCTGATATGTATGCACATACTCCCTTTATATGGAGAGGCCTGTTTGCATGTTTATATGAGAAATAGAAGGGAAAATAATCTGTTATAGACTCATTGTGCCTCTTAAAATTGTTTGAGAGGAGCTTAGAAGACTTATGGAAAAGATACAATAAACTTACCAAGTTCAACTAACTAAGCATCATCACATATCTTTAATTATTATCACAGAATCAAGACTTACTGAAGACTTTAAAAGGTGGAGCTTTCTCCCTACTGTAAAAAAAAAAAAAAAAAAAAAAAAAAAAAAAAAAAAAAAGTATATTTCTGGGAAAATTTTGGGCCTGAAATAATAGGAAGGATAAAAATTAACATGATATCTAAAAATGTTTCAGTGATACGTGCATCATCTGGGACTTACTTTTAATATTAAGGGGGAAAAGGGAGATTTTCAGATGCCCTAGCATTCCATGTTTCAGAAAATGGGATGATAGGAGGCTTTAAAAATCCCCCTTTATCACCTCAGAACATACTGAATTGAGCATAATATTTCATCTTAACAGGAAAATTATGCGTCAAAGCAACATAGCTTATACTATCAGATAATTGTAGGACAAAATATGGGTGAAGGAGATTGCCATCATTTTGATAATGTCATAGAACTACCCTCCAAAACCATAGGACTGCATGACAAGGATGTGGAAACATAAGAAAACATTTTAACACAGAGCATCAATTTTTATACCACCTATAAAAATTTCAATTTCTCTCTCTGTACATATTCATTCAAAATGAATATATATGTAGTTACACACACACACACATATATATATATTATATGTATATATATACATGCACCCACACACACTTAAGAATACTTAGGAGAAATAAATAAGCAGAAATACTACTTTGATTATTCAAACCAGAATAGTGTATATTTCCATACCCTACCTACCTGAATACCCATACGCGTGTGAAGCATTAGTATTCAGCAGCTCATCCGTGTCTTTCTATTTATGTATAATTGCATTAACACCTTCTGGTGAATATGAATATCAAATTTATAAATAATCAGAAAAACATAGGGAAGCTTTACAAAATATCATGAATAGTTTTGTTTTTATTTTCCTTATTAGAGCAAAAGAAGAAGCTTCTGGTTCAGTTCTTGTCATATTAGAAGATAAAAGATAAGAATCTGATTAGTCACATACCTGCTGGTTTGCAGTTCTTAGTCAAATTGTTTAAAGAATTTTCTTGGATTCCAAAATCAAAGAGCTCCTCTAGTTACCTAGGTAGTGTGGAATTAAATTACTTTCCTGTAAAAGTGATTCTAATCTTTAATTGCATCTAAATTAATAAAGAGTTTAGTTAAATCTGGCAAGGCCACATGACTTATTTCAGGTGCTAAGTAACCTTATGGTGAATAACAATAGCTAAACATCAGATAAGTATTTATTATAAGGGGAAATTGACTGTTACAACATCAAATGGACGATCACTCTGTAAATGATTCCCAAACAGATAAACCTAAAGTGGTATATCAAAGAGCGGTAATACAGAGTATTTATTGTGTCAACTCACCATCTCAACCTATTTCTACTGAGCACCTGACAAAAGACTAATTTAAGCATTCCATTTGCATTATACATTACATATTTTAAAAACCCAGTTTAAGATACCATAGGCATAGTCTTTATAATAAAAGATAAACTTTACCAAATATAATTATCTTTATTGCTAGATAAAAATGTGACTGTATCAGAATGCAAGACTGAATTAGTAAGGGATAAAATGTATCAATAGTAATACCCAAAACAATGGAAAATATTTATATATACAAAAGAGTATCACTCGTTTATATATATATTTATGTATATGTACACATTAGTATATATACTAATATATACTAAAATATGGAATTGTATATAATTTAAATATTATTTTATATAATACTTAATATCATACTAATATTGATATTATATATTACATTAAAATTAGTATTAATTAATATTAATTGATGTGTTTAATATTAATGATACATCATATTGATATTATAATTAGTATATCATTATTAATATTATTAGCATAATATATTATATATTATGTTATGTATAATATGACATTATGTTATATATAATATGTTATGTGTCATATATTATACTATATAATTGTTACATATAAATATATGAATAAATATCAATATTATATTTATATATTTATACAAAATATATTTTATAAATTTATGTTATATAAAATATATAAATACGAATATATTTTATATATTATATAAAATATATAAATACGAATATATTTTATATATTATATAAAATATATAAATACGAATATATTTTATATATTATATAAAATATATAAATACGAATATATTTTATATATTATATAAAATATATAAATACGAATATATTTTATATATTATATAAAATATATAAATACGAATATATTTTATATATTATATAAAATATATAAATACGAATATATTTTATATATTATATAAAATATATAAATACGAATATATTTTATATATTATATAAAATATATAAATACGAATATATTTTATATATTATATAAAATTTTATTATATATTAAATGAGTGATTTTTCTTTTATATAGTTTTATGTATTTTATATATCATAAAATGATATACAATATAATACATTTTACATATTTTTACATTATATAAAATTTTATTATATATAAAATGAGTGATAGTGTATATAAATTGCAGAGTATATTATTTAAATATATAAATGTATACATATTTAATAGATTATATATTAATATTTCAGTATATTTATTACTGTAATAATATGTTAGTAATATATAGTTCATAATATTCTTCTATTTCTAACTCATCAGATGCTAGTTTCAACATACATCATTGAAGATCATTGAAGGCAAATCTCTTTGAAATATAAAGGGAATTTAATTCACATTAACATTAGATTTTTGCAGAAATGGTAAATGGAATGTGATCAAATAAATAAACAATATCAAATAAAAGGAGGTACTGTAACTAAACAGATTACCTGAGAGTTGTATCCAGCGAGGAATAAGTAAAAGATTCTTCACTTCAATGTATTTTTAATGTAACTCACTTTGTAAATGACAAAACTACATATTTCAGTAAATAGTTCCTTTATGTGCTAGTATAATTCTTTATAGAAGAGAAGAACTCTGAAGAAAATTTAAAATTCTTAATATCTGTGAGAATAGGTGCAAATGGATTTCTTTCCAATCACCAAACATTTCAACATTAATGCGTTGCTACATTGTCAGCAATTTGAGTGTCGGACATTGTTACCATGTAACGCTTGTAGGGCTCTTTAATGACCACTCCCAACATTTGTGTGGGCAAAGAAAAATGGCATAGAAACTCTGACAAATATGTCCATGGAAGCAACTGTGGAAATAGAAGAGATATTTTCCCAGTTGTCCACGGCTTCCACTATTTTGTCACTTGGTTATGTGCTCTTGCTCAAGGAAGAAGAGTTGTGAAACAAGGTTTCTTACTGCTCCTTACTTTCTATTTAAAAAGGAAATTAGCACAATAAAGAATATGAATCTGTCTCTAAATGTTGGTGAATCTGACATTAATGTCTTCTCTTACTGACATCTAGCTGGAGCATAAAGGTTAATGATAGAAAGATGACAAATATCAATGTTATAATGTATTAGTTCTCTAATTAATTAGCAAACCCAATTTGGATCATAATTCTTAAGTTCATTTAAGGTTTGATCATGACCTTTTGGTCTTACTAGTGCCATTCTCATTTCTCAGAATAGCAGCAGTCACCAAGGCAAAGAGAGTTTGAACTGTGGTAACAACACTCCTGTCTAAAGGAAGTCAGGTTTTGCTAAAGACAAGTCAAAAGGTAAAAACTCTTAATGATAAAGTTACTTAACTCTTACAACAAATTAGTTGCCTTTACCTTCCTTAATCCTTAAAACTACTAGTTAAACTTTGTCTCCAAATTTCAAATGAAATTTTCATGAACAGATCCTAAATAATCTCACGTCCTTAAATATTTTGAACATTTTTAATTTTATTTTCATAATAGATTATATTGCTTTACTGTAGCCCCACTCTAAATGCATACATAATCAGAGTATCAACTTTACAAAAAACTCAAGAATTTCTTAAGAATTTGATGCCAAAGTTTTTTTGAGATACAACTTCCATTTCCTGAAATAAAGAAAAATCTTGTAGACTTTTTGTTGTTGTTGTTGTTGAAGATAACATGGTGGAATATAACTCCCCATCAATTATTCCCTCACAGAAATATCAATTTGAACAACTATCTGTGTCCCAAAATATCATAAGAGCTAAGGAAGCCAGATGATAAATCAGAGTACTTGGTTATAGCATGAAAATAAGAAAAGTCACATTGAAGATGGCAGGAGGGATAATTTTACATTAATTGCATCACCTCTTTCTCACTGCAGCACAAGGAAACAGATGCTATTCACTTGGGAGAAAAAGAGGAAAGTGAACCTAAGGCTCCATGTCGGTCTACAACACCAGGTCCACCATAGTAGAACCCAGCACTAGGGAGAACTGCATGACCCCGAATGCAGGCTGGTAGCATGGACTGAGCCACAAGGCCTGCTTTCACATTAGGTAGGGAGCCATAGTCCCGGTGAAATAGATAGGTTCCTGTGGATATCACTGTCAGCTGACTACAGTGGCCTTGGGCTTCTAATAACCCACAGCAATAGGCAGGTCTCAGCAGCTGTGGACTTCAGCAGAGTGCTGCACTGGCCTCAGTGACTATGGGCTTTCGGCACAGTGAAAGATGCTTTGGGTGCAGTGCTAGATTTGATAGATACAGAATTCCATCTTGGTGCTAAACCAACAGTGATGGTCTTACACTTAGTGAAACCCCTAGCACTTCAATGGCACTGTTTTCAGTGGTCACAGGCTTAGGGACTATGACATAGTCCTTCCCAGAATCTTTGTACAGGCTTACCATTGAATGGGGTTTTCAGACAATGCCAGATTGTGAAGACTCTACTAAATACCTACTTTGAATCTTCAGTGTGCAGACAATGATGCATAACCACAAAGATTAAGAGTAATCAAGGAAATATGTCAACAACTGGACAAAATAAAGTACCAATGATTAACCCAAAGAGAAAAAGATGTATAAACTGCCCAACAAGCCATTCAAAATAATGGTTTTAAGAAAGATCATCAAGCTTCAAAACACACACACACACACACATACACACACACACCTGCACAGAAAAAAATCAATAGGATGAGGAAAACAATGAGTGAAAATAGTGAGAAATTTAACAGAGATTAACATAATAAAATCAAACAGAAATCTTGGAGCTGAAAAAAAATACAATGAACTAAATGAGAAAGGCAACAAAGAGCATCAGTAGCATAATGAGTCAAGCAGAACAAAGAATCCGTAGACTTACCAGTAGGTTATTAGAAAATATATAGTCAGAGGAGAAGTAAAGATCAAAAAGGAATGAAGAGAGTTTGTAGGATTTATGGCAACAGAAGAGCAACAATTGTAGATATTGGAGTTCAAGAGACAACAGAGAAAAACAAAGGCATATAATGTTTAAAGAAATAAATCAGAAAACGTTTTAAATCTGTAGAAAGATGTGAATATCCAGGCACATGAAGGTCAAAGGTCAGCAATCAGATGAAATCCAAATAAGACTACCTCAAGATGTGTTTTAATCAAAGTTTTTGCTGTGTTTTTTGTTTGTTTGTTTGTTTTTGTTTTTGTTTTTGTTTTGAGACAGAGTCTGGCTCTGTTGCCCAGCCTGGAGTGTAGTGGCACAATCTCAGCCCACTGCAACCTCTGCCTCCCAGGTTCAAGTGATTCTCCTACCTCAGCCTCCTGAGTAGCTTGGATTACAGGGACATGTCCCCACGCCCAGCTAATTTTTGTATTTTTGGTAGAGGTGGGGTTTTGCCATGTTAGCCAGGTTAGTCTCAAACTCCCGGCCTCAAGTGTTCCACCCACCTCAGCCCCCAAATTGCTGGGATTACAGACATGAACCTCCACTCCTGGCCAGAATCAAACTTTCAAAGAACGAGATGAAAAGAAGATTCTGAAAACAACAAGTGAGAAGAGGCAAATAACATACAAGGGAGGTTCAGTATACCTAGCAGCAGAATTTTAAGCAAGAACCTTAAGGCCAAGAGGGAGTGGGATGATATATATTTAAAGTGCTGAAGGAAAAAATAATGCCAATCAAGAATACTGTGCCCAGCAAAGCTATCCTTCAGACACAAAACAGAGATAAACTTCCCAGACAATCAAAAGTTGGTTATTAAGAGCTGGTGAAACTCTTAGTTGGTGGGGTTCACAACCACCTGATTTTTCTTATAAGAAAAGCTAAAGGGAGTTCTTTAAGCTCAATGAAAATAATGCTACTGAGTAACACAAACACTTTTGAAAGCAGAGAATTTACTTGCAAAAATAAGTACACAGTCAAATTTAGAATAATACTGTAATGATGATGTGTACATCACATATCTTTAGTATGAAGGTTAAAAGAAAAAAACTACTAAAAATAGTAAGTACGATAGTTTGTTAAGGGATATAAAATATAAGTAGATGTAAATAGTGACATCTAAAATTCGAAACGAGAGGGGAATGGAGTGAAAATGTACTTTCTTTTGTAAAAAAAAGCTAAGTTGTTTCTGTTTAAAATAATGGTTACAGCTGTAAGATTTTTTGTTAAGTCTTATGGTAACCACAAAGCAAAAACCTATAATAGATACACAAAAAATAAAAAACAAGAAATCACCCATACTACTAAGAAAAATACTTAACCACAAAGTAAAAAAATAGGAAAGAACAAAAGAATTTATAAGAAAACCTAAAAAAAATTAATGAAATGATATTAAAAATTTCTTACCTATCTATAATTACCTTGAACGTAAATGAACTATATTATCCAATTAAAAGACATAGAGTGGCTTAATGAAGTTAAAAAAAAGACCCTACCATATCCTGCCTACAAAAGACTAACTTCATCTTTGGGAACACATGTAGACTAACAATGAAGAAATGGAAAAAGATAGTCCATGCAAATGAAAAGCAAAAGAGAAGAGGAATAGCTATAGTTATATCAGATAAAATAGGTTTTTTATCAAAAACTGTAAGAAGAAACAAAGAATGTCATTATATAATGATAAAGGGATCAATGCAGCAAGAAGATACAATTGTATATATTTATATACAAAATACTATCTTGAGTACATGAAAAAATTGATAAATTTCTGGACACATATAACCTACCAAGATTGTATTAGGAAGAAACAGAAATTCTGAAAAGACCAGTAACAAGAAAGGAGATGGAATCAGTAATACAATGTCTCCCACCAAAGAGTATATAAATATATACTCAAGATTGTACACATACATATACACACATATATATACCATTATATCTTCTTGCTGAACTGACCCGTTTATCATATAATGACCTTGTTTCTTTTTATATTTTTTGATGTAAAGTCTATTTTATCTGGGATAAGTATAGCTACTCCTCTTCTCTTTTGCTTTTCAGTTGCAAATATGTATATATATATGTGTATGAATTTATATATTCATTTGCATATATATGCACACATATATGTACTCAAGATTCAAGCACTTAAATACATAAAGCAAAAAAATAATAAATCTTAAGGAAGACATAGTAACACAATAACATTAGGGGACTTTAACACTCCATTTTCAGCAGTGGACAGATCATCCAGTCAGAAAATCAGTAGGGAAACTTCAGTCTTTAACCACCTTCTAGGCCTAGTAGACCTAGCAGAAATATATAGAATATTCCATCCAACAATTGCAGACTATATATGTTCTAAACTGCACATTGAAAATTGTTCAGGATAGATCATATGTTAGGCCACAAAATAAGTCCTAACAGATTTTAAAATATCGAAATTATATCAAATATTTTTTCCGACCACAACAGTATAAAACTAGACATCAATAACAGAACGATAAATTTTAAAAATGCTGAAATTATTAAAATTTACAAATATGTGAAAATTAAACAACATGTTCCTGAATAACTAATTGGTCAATTAAGACATTAAAAAGAAATTTAAAAAATTTTGGGGGGACAAACAAAAATGGGAAAAAAAATTCATACAAAATCAATGGGATGCAGTAAATGCAGTTCTAAGAGGGAAGTTTAGAGCAATAGACACAGCAAAAAAAAGAGAAAGATTTCAAAAAAAAAAACCTAATATTGCAACTGAAGGATCTATAGAAATAAACAAACTAAGCCCAAAATTAATAGAAGGAAGGAAATAGTACAGATTATACTATAAATAAAAGAGTAAAAAATAAATAAAAAGATAAACAAAATGAAGAGTAAGTTTTCTTGAAAAAGTCATGGATGAAGCTGGAAACCATCATTCTGAGCAAACTATCGCAAGGACAGAAAACCAAACACTGCATGTTCTCACTCATAGGTGGGAATTGAACAATGAGAACACTTGGACACAGGGTGGGGAACATCACACATCCAGGCGTGTCGTGTGGTGGGGTGATGGGGGAGGGATAGCATTAGGAGAAATACTTAATGTAAATGACCAGTTAATGGGTGCAACAAACCAACATGGCACATGTATATCTATGTAACAAACCTTCACGTTGTACACATGTACCCCAGAACTTAAAGTATAATTAAAAAAAAAAAAAAGGCTGGGCGTGGTGGCTCACGCCTGTAATCCCAGCACTTTGGGAGGCCGAGGCGGGCAGATCACAAGATCAAGAGATCGAGACCATCCTGGCTAACACGGTGAAACCCCGTCTCTACTAAAAATACAAAAAAATCAGCCAGGCGTGGTGGCGGGCCCCTCTAGTCCCAACTACTCGGGAGGCTGAGGCAGGAGAATGGCGTGAACCCGGGAGGCGGAGCTTGCAGTGAGCGGAGATGGCGCCACTGCACTCTAGCCTGGGCGAAAGGGTGAGAGTCTGTCTCAAAAAAAAAGAAAGAAAGAAAGAAAGAAAATGTCAAAACCGGCCAGGCGCGGGGGCTCACGCCTGTAATCCCAGCACTTTGGGAAGCCGCGGCGGGCGGATCACAGGGTCAGGAGATCTAGACCACCCTGGCTAACACGGTGAAAACCCGTCTCTACTAAAAATACAAAAAAATGAGCCGGGCCTGGTGGCGGGCGCCTGTAGTACCAGCTATTCGGGAGGCTGAGGCAGGAGAATGGCATGAACCCAGGAGGTGGAGCTTGCAGTGAGCCAACATCGCGCCACTGCACTCCAGCCTAGGCGACAGAACGAGACTCTATCTCAAAAAAAAAAAAGAAGTCAAAACCAATAAATAAGTGATGACAAAGGAGACAAACAACTGATACCACAGGAATATGAAGAATCATAAGAGATCATTATGAGGCCAAGTGTGGTGGCTTACACCTGTAATCCCAGCACTTTGAGAAGCTGAGGCAGGCAGATGACTTGAGGTTAGGAGTTCGAGACCAGCCTGGCCAACACGGTAAAACCTCGTCTCTAATAAAAACACAAAACAATTAGCTGGGAGTGGTGGTGCATGCCTGTAGTCCCAGCTACTGTGGAGGCTGAAGTGGGAAAATCACCTGAAGTCGGGAGGTGGAGGTTGCAGTGAGCAAGATCACACCACTGCACTCCAGCCTGGGAGACAGAGCAAGAATGCGTCTAAAAAAGAAAAAGAAAAAAAAAAAAAAGACTATTATCAACAACTGTATGCCAAAAAATTAGATAACTTAGAAAAAAATCGGATAAATGTCTGGACACATACAACCTACCAAGATTACATTATGAAGAAATAGAAAATCTGAGAAGACCAATAAAAAATAAGGACATGCAATCAGTAATAAAAAGTCTCCCGCCGAAGAAAAAAATAAAAATAAAAACAAGATCTAACGGCATAAGTGCTGAACATTTATCTACTAAACCTTTAATGACGAACTAAAACCAATTCTTCTCAAACTCTTCCAAAATGTTGAAGAGGAGAGAATATTTCCAAACTCATTTTATGAGGTCAGCATTACTCTAATACCAAAACCAGTCAAAGGTACAACACAAAGAGAAAACTACAGGCCGGTATCTCTGAATATACATGCAAAATTCTCAACAAAATACTAGTAATCCAAATTCAACAGCACATTAAAAAGTTCATTTACCGTGATAAAGGGGGATTCATCTTAGTGGTGCAAAGATGGTATGACATACACAAATTAATATATGTGATACATAATATTAACATAATGAAGAAAAAACCCATTGGATGGCTTTAATAGGTGCAGAAAAAAATAGAAAAGGCAAAACATCGCTTCATCATAAAAACCATCAACAAATTTGGTGTAGAAGGAATATAAATAAAAACCATATATGACAAACTGACAGCTAACATCATACTGAATGAAGACAAGTTGAAACTTTTCTTCTAAGATCTGGAAAAAACAAAGATGCCCACTCTAACCACTGTTATTCAACATAGTACTGGACGTAAGTCCTAGCTAGAGCAATTAAGCAAGAGGGAAATAAAAGTCATCCAAATTGGAAAAGAAGTTAAAATGTGCCTGTTTGCAAATAACATGATCATATATTCATAGAAAACCCTCAAGTCTCCATCAAAAAACTGTTAGAATCAATAAACAAAGTGAACTTGTACAATGGTGAACAAAATCAACATTCAAAAATCAGTAGCACTTTTTTTTTTTTTTTTTTTGAGACGGAGTTTCGCTCTATTTCCAGGCTGGAGTTCAGTGGTGCCATCTCGGCTCACCGCAATCTCCGCCTCCCAGGTTCGAGCGATTCTCTTGCCTCAGCCTTCCGAGTAGCTGGAACTGCAGGCGCGTGCCACCACGCCCAGCTAATTTTTGTAATTTTAGTAGAGACGGGGTTTCACCATGTTGGCCAGGATGGTCTCAATCTCTTGACCTCGTAATCTGCCTGCCTCGGCCTCCCAAAGCACAGGGATTACAGGCGTGAGCCACCATGCCTGGCCAATCAATAGCACTTTTATACATTAACAATGAACTATCTGAAGAATAAATTATCAAAAATCCAGTTTACAATAGCTACAAAAAAGATAAAATGCCTTGGAATAAATTTAACCAATGAGGTGAAAGATGCGTACACTGAAAATTATAAACCATTGATGAAATAATCTGAAGAATACACAAATAAATAGAAAGATTTCTCATGGTTAGGATTGGAAACATTAATATTGGTAAAATGTCTATACTAACCAAAGCAATCTACAGGTTCAAAATGCCAATGACGTTCTTTACAGAAATAGAAAAAAAATCAGTTCTAAAATTCATATGAAAACACAAAAGACCCTTAACAGCCAAAGCAATCTTGTGCAAAAAGAACAAAGCTGGAGACATCACACTACCTAACTTCAAAATATACTACAAAACTTGAGTAACCAAAACAACATGGAACTGACATAAAAACAAACACATAGACAAGTGGAAGAGAATAAAGTGCTCAGAAATAAATTCATACATTCACAGCCAACTGCATGTTGACAAAGATGCCAAAAACAGACAGTCAGAAAATGACAGTCTCTTCATAGACAAATGAGATTACATAAAATTGGAAAGCTTCTGCACAGCAAAGGAAAAAATCCACAAAGTGAAGAGAACAAACACAAAACAAGAGAAAATAATTGGAAGTATACATCTCATAAGGGGTTAATATGCAATCTATACAAGGAACTCAGACAACTATAGCAAGAAAACAAATAACCTGATTTTAAAATTGGCAAATTACCTGAGTAGACCTTTCTGAGAAGAAGACATGCAAATGACTGACAGGTGTATAAAATAGTGCTCAACATCACACTTAATCATCAGGACGTATGCAAATCAACATGTTGAAGAGATATCTGCACTTGCATGCTTATTACAACTTTATTCGTGATAGGCACAATATGGGATCATATTTTGCCTATCAATGAAAGGATGGATAAAGAAAATGTGATTTATATGCACAGTGAAATATTATTCATCCATGAAACAAGAAGGAAATCCTGTCATTAGGCACAAATGGGTGAACCTAGAGAACATTATGTTAAGGGAAAAATGCAAGGCACAGAAACACAAATACCACATGATCTCATTCATATGTGGAATCTAAAACAATGGATCCCAAAATAGTAGAAAACAGAATGATGGTTACCAGAATCTGTGGGTAGTCAGAGGGTGGAAGGGGTTGGTGAGATGTTTGTCAAAGAATACACATTCACAGTTTGATAGGAGAAAGAAGTTTAAGGGACTTATTGCATAGCACGGTGACTATAGTTAATGACAATATATTATATTCTTAAAAAATGCTAAAAGTGTGGATTTGAATTATTCTTAACACAAAAATGATAACTATGTAAGGTAATTAGTTAATTAGCTATATTTAACCAGTCTACAATATATATATACTTTAAAACATTATGTTGTACACAATACATATAAATTTACATGTCAATTAAAAAATAAACTTGGAGAAAAAGAAAAAAACTTTCACTTTTAAGTGTTTAACATTGAAAAAATACTTACTTAGTGCCTATAATCCCAGCACTTTGTGAGGCTGAGGCAGGTGGCCTATTTGAGCTTAGGCGTTCGAGACCAGCCTGGTCAACACGGCGAAATCTTGTCTCCAAAAAAATTACAAAAATTATCCAGGCATGGTCCCAACAACTCAGGAGGCTGAGGTGGGAGGATTGCTTGAACCCAGGAGGCCGAGGCTGAAGTGAGCCATGATCACACCACTGCACTCCAGCCTGGGTGATAGAGTGAGATCCTGTCTCAAAAAAAATAAAAAAAGAAAAGAAAAGAAAAAAAAATTTCCTTATATGAGAAATAACAACAGCATAAAAATGTTGACCTATGTTTCTCTTTTCAATTAGAGAGTTTTTTTTATATTTTTAAAAAGAAACATAAAATAGCCACGATGTAATGCTTAAATGATTTTCATTCAAGAATGTATTGATGCCGACACTAGCAGTTGTAGGTGATCAAAGCATAAATAAAATTGGAAAACTGTCACTAATTTTTTGTTCACTTACAATTATCATAGTTTGTCCATTGTCCTAAAACACACAGGGCCTTCAATAAGCCTCCATTTCTATTTCAAATTACATTTAAAAATATCTTAAAAGTTTTTATACTACAAATCACTTAATGAAAATAATCAATCTCTCATATTTTGATCAAATTGACTATTTTCAGCAGAAGGAGTCTCACTTGCCTATGAGATTAAAGATATTAAATATAGTTTGAGAGTTCAAGGCATCTTTGGGGGACATTTTTGAAACTGTATAATTACCCCATATATAAGATATGGGTTCTGATTTTAAGGAGTAAGTGTCACTGACGACAAAGATTTAGACTTGAAATAATTAAGATAAAAATAATTAAATCAAAAATATGTGCTAGTATTAAAATGTGTTCATACCAAGGAATTCAAAGAAATCTTCAGAAGAAGAAAAATTAACCCTAAATCTAAGATTAGACAGGAATTAGGGAAGCAAGGTGAAGTAGGGATGAGTTTGAAGTTGGGAATAATTTAAGAAAACATAATTATGTACTTAAAATAAGGACACATATTGTCACTTAACAGTAAGATAGTCTCATTATCCCTTTTAATCAGTTAGAAAGCACTCAACACCCAAGAAAAGGGGAATTCAAATTTTTCCTCTTCTGTGCCTTTTCATCAAGAATGTATGTGTTCTTTATTAGAGAAAGTTACAAGGATCTTCAAAAATTTAAACTTTTAAAGATCTAAACGTTAATGGTTTCATTTTTTAATTAGAATTAACTTTTGGTCCATTCCCAGATTTTACTCTTGAAAATCTAGCAGCTGGAACAGGAAAAATATAAGAAATTTCATGTAGAAATAGAAGCTACCAGATTAGGAAAAAAGAGACAGGCCTTCTACTTTTTTTACATAACTTTTTTTGTTCATCAAATGAATATTGAGAGAACACTATTTTCTTGTTGACCTAAAAAATATGATACAAGATATAACGGAATGATTTTATAGACCCTGAGAGGCAGAGGTTTTTACAGAAAACTAAAATCAGGAAAGCGAAAAACAAAAATATTGCAAAAGAGTCTGTCTTCTCTTTGGTGTATCCTTTACCACTTACCTGTTCATTCTTAGAAACAAAAATGGATTCCCTGTGACTTCTTTCCTAATTAACCTTAGCATTAAAATTGTTTAACTAAAAAGCTCTTTAACAAGGCTAGAAATAAGAACATTCATGCTATTCTTTTCAAAATTTAACTCCTAAGGCAGTTAACAAAGTATGAAGAGCAAAATCCATAAAGGTCATTTCTCTTTTAGCAGTGGCATTTTCTCACTGAGGCTTCTGAGTTCTCAGACCTTTCTCCATTTTAGTTTTCTGCCTTTTCAAGCAGGTCACAACTTTAGGCCTGACAGGAAAGAAATATGGTACATCTAATTCATTGTGAGTCTACTTGTATTTCACCTCCTTCACATTCTGCTTTTTGTCAGATTCTATCTAAAATCAAATCACTATTGGCCAAGGCTATGTCCACACAAAAATGGGAGAGTTAGATGTGTCCAAATGAGATCATTATTCTGCTTAGCTCTAACAGTTTCCATGGCTATATGAAATACCAGCCATAAGGTAGAGGAAATGTCAGCATGAGCTTATAGGAATTGGTCTCACCAAATCTATTGCTCTTCATTCTACCAGCAGATCAAGTCCTTTTGGATACAGTTTTCCCATGAAGCAAAAAAACAAAGAAAATGTTTAAATAAACATTTAAATATTTAAAATATTTTTAAAATGTTCTCATTAAATATTAAACACTTGTGGAAGATAACACTTATAGGAGTAAAGGCATATTTTATCACATCATTTTAGATTAATTTTCCTCGTGTAAACAATTTCTGGACCTGCTCTGGGGCAGTCGGGAGCTTACTGCTCTGCTCTGAAAGGTGAGTCCCAGGTCTGTCTGGCGCATTCACCACAGGCTGATGGAACAGCCCTTGGGCTTTAAATGAACATCAGTGGTGGACTCGTAGAACCCCCGTTGACTGGTGGTGATGGTGGCCACAGAGAGAGGCTCCTCTGCCTATGAATATGGAAAGGAAGAGCAGGGAGGACTTTCTATTGTGGTATGAGTGACACTTTTAGCCACGATAGAATAGAACATCAGGTAAACTGCTAAGGTTTTTTAATCAAAGCCCTGGTTTCCAGACAGCATCTCTGGACATCTGTAGCAGCTTGGGAGAACTCACTGCTATGGAGGCAAGGGCCTTGGGCAAGACCCAGTGCTGTGCTCACTTGAGGTGTGACCCAGTGAAATCCCAGTTGTGGTGGCCACAGGGGTAATTACATCACTATACCCCCAGCTCCAGGTGGTTCAGCATGGAGAGAGAGACTCCATTTGCTTGGTAGAAAGTTAGGGAGAAGAACGAAAGTCTGCCTGGTAATCCAGAGATGTCTGGATCTTATCCAAGTCAACCAAGATGAAACTTTTACAAGTCTGCAAAAACCACAGTGTTATTGGGTTTGGGGCCCAAATCTCTAATAATACATGAAAAACATTACCAAGGAGGACAAGCCCAGATGGTGACGACTATAATAAACACTTTGGTATTTTTTATAGTATTATTATTCAATGTCCAGACACAGACAAACATCTACAGGCATCAACACCATCCAGGAAAATATGACCTAATCAAATGAACTAAATAAGGCACCAGAAACCAATCCTGGAGAAATAGATGTATGACCTTTTAGACAGGTAATTCAAGATCACTGTTTGGAAGAAACACAAAGAAATTCCAGACAACACAGAGAAGGAATTCTGGAGTTGAAAAATGTAAATGACAGGCCAAAGAAAGCATTAGTCTCTTAATAGCAGAACTCATCAAGCAGAAGGAAGAATTAGTGAGCTTAAAGACAGGCTATTTGAAAATACAGTCAGTGGAGACAAAAGAAAAAAGAATGAAAAACAGTGAAGCATGCCTATACGTGCTAGAAAATAGGCTCAAAACGGCAAATCTAAGAGCTGTTGGCCTTAGGACGAGGTAGAGAAAGAGACTGGGGTAGAAAGTTTATTCAAAAGGATATTATCAGAGCTCTTCCCAAACCTAGAGAAGATAGGAACATTCAAGTACAAGAATGTTATAGAACATCAAGCAGTTTATCCAAAGAATACTGCCTCTAGGTATTTAATAATCAAACTACCAAAGATCAAGGAAAAAGAAAGGATCCCCGGCCAGGCACAGTGGCTCACCCCTGTAATCCCAGCACTTTGGGAGGCCGAGGTGGGTGGATCACTTGAGGTCAGAAGTTTGAGACCAGCCTGGTCATCGTGGTGAAACCCCATTTCTACTAAAAATACAAAAAAAAAAAAAAAAAAATTAGCAGGGCATGGTGACACACACCTGCAATCCCAGGTACTCTGGAGGCTGAGGCATGAGAATCACTTAAACGAGGGAGATGGAGGTTGCAGTGAGCCAAGATCACTCTGCTGCACTCCAGCCTGGGAGACAGAGTGAGACTCAGGAAGCAGGAGAAAAGAAACAGATACTATACAATGGGGGTTTCAACACATCTGGCAAAAGTCTTATCAGTACATCTTACAGGACAGGAGAGAATGGCATGTCATATTTAAAGTGCTGAAAAATTGCTTTTATCCCAGAATAGTAAATCTGGTGAAAATATCCTTCAATCATGAAGAAGAAATAAAGACCTTCCCAGACAAATAAAAAGATCTTTTTTTCTACATCTTGTAGGACACCAAACCTATCCTACAAGAAATGCTAAAAGGAGTTTTTCTTTTCTTTTTTCTTTTCTTTTCTTTTCTTTTCTTTTTAAGACGGAGTTTCGTTCTTGTTGCCCAGGCTGGAGTGCAATGGCGCGATCTGAGGACACTGCAACCTCCGCCTTCCGGGTTCAAGCGATTCTCTTGCCTCAGCCTCTTGAGTAGCTGGGATTATAGGCATGCACCACCACACCCAGCTAATTTTTTTTGTATTTTTAGTAGAGACGGGGTTTCTCCACGTTGGTCAGGCTGGTCTCGAACTCCCAACCTCAGGTGATCCACTCGCCTCAGCCTCCCAAAATGCTGGGATTACAGGCGTGAGCCACCATGCCTGTTTTTCAAGGCCAATTTTTCAATCTGAAAGAAAAAGACATCAATGAGTAATAAGAGATAATCTGAAGGTACAAAACTCACTGGTAATAGTAAGCACACAGAAAAACAGGATATTATAACACTGTAATGGTGGTATATAAAATAACATTATCTTAAGTAGAAAGACTTAAGACAATACTAATCATTGTCTAGTTATTACTAACTATACTAGTTATTACTAAGAGTAATAACTACGACAACATTTCAAGGACTAGATAGTACAATAGCACATAAAGATAAACAACAAAAAGTTGAAAAGTGAAGTGACAAAGATAAAGTGTAGAGTTATTGTTAGTTATCTTTCTGTGTGTTTCTATATGGAATCAGTGTTAAATTGTCATCAGTTTAATATAATGGGTTATAAGACACTATTTGCAAGCCTCATGGTAATCTCAAACCAAAAATCTTACAATAGATATACAAAAAATAAAAAGCAAGAAATTAAAGCATACCACCAAAAAAAAAAGTATTAAAGTATTACCTTCACTAAAAGGAAAAAAAGGAAAGAAAGAAGAGAAGAGTGCAAAACAATCAGAAAACAAATAACAGGACAGGAGTACATCTCTACTTATCAATAGCAACATTGAATGTAAATGGACTAAACTCTCCAAACAAATGACATAAAGTGACTGAGTGTATGAAAAAACAAGATGCAATGATCTTTGGCTTCCAAGAAACACACTTAACCTACAAGGACAGACACAGACTGAAAATAAAGAGATGGAAAAATGTATTCCATACCAATGGAAACCAAAAAAGAGCAGGAGTAGCTATGCTTATATCAGACAAAATGGTTTTCAAGGCAAAAATTGTAAGAAGAGCCAAAGAAGGTCATTACATACTGATAAAGGGATCAGTTTAGCAAGAGGATATAATGCTTATAAATGTATATCCACCCAACACTGGAACACTCAGGTATATAAAGCAAATATTATTAGAACTAAAGAGAGAGATAAACCTCAATACAATAATAACTGGAGACTTCAACACTCTACTTTCAGCATTGGACAGCTCTCTCAGACAGAAACTCAACAAAAAAAATCAGACTTAATCTGAACCATAGAACAAATGGATCTAATAGATATCTACACAACATTTTACCCAACAGCAGCAGAGTACACATTTTCTCTTCAGTACATAAATCATTCTGAAGGATATTGTATATGTTAGTCACAAAACAAATCTTAACAATTTCAAAAAAAATGACAACCTACCAACCATTTTATCTGAACACAATGGAATAAAAGTAGAAATCAACAACAAGAGAAATTTTGAAAACTATACAAACATATGAAAATTAAACAATATGCTCCTGAAAGACCAATGGGTTAATGAAGTAATTAAGCAGGAAACTGAAAAATTCTCTGACACAAATGATAATGGAAACACAACATACCAAAACCTATGGGATACAGCAAAAACAGTACTGAGGGAAATTTATAGCTATAAATGCCCACATCAAAATAGAAGAAAAGCTTCTTTTTACAAAACAGTAGTCCCATTCACAACAGACACAAAACTAAATACCTAGAAATTAACCAAAGAAGTGAAATATATCTACAATGAAAACTATAAAATATCAATGCAAGAAATTGAAGAAGACATCAAAAGATGAAAAGATATTTTATGTTCATGGATTGGAAGAATCAATATTGTTAAAATGTCCATACTACCCAAAGCACAATGCAATTCCTATCAAAACACCAATAGCATTCTTCTCAGAAATAGAAAAAACAAGTCTAAAATTTTTATGGAACCACATAAGATCCAGGAAAGACAAAGCTATCCTGACTGAAAAGAATAAAACTGAAATAATTATTATCTGTCTTCAAATTATATTACAGAGCTACAGTACCCAAAATAGCATGTACTGGCATAAAAACAAACACATGGACAAATGGTGCAGAATAGAGAAGCTAGAAACAAATCCACATGCCTACAATGAACTTATTTTTGACAAAGGTGACAAGAACATACATTAGGGAAAAGACAGTCTCTTCAAAAATAGTGCTAGAAAACTGGACATCTACATGCAGAAGCATGACACTATATCCTTATTTCTTGCCATACACAAAAATCAAATACAAATGGATTAGACTTAAATATAAGAGCTCAAACTATGAAATTACTTTAAGAAAACATTGGGGAAACTTTCCATAACATTAATCTAGGCAAACATTTATTGAACAATACCCACAAGCTCAAGCAACCTAAGCAAAAATGGACAAATGGGATCACGTCAAGTTAAAAAGCTCTTGTACAGCAAAGGATGCAATCAGCAAAGTGAAGACACAACCCACAGAATGGGAGAAATATTTGCAAACTACCCATCTGATATGGAATTCATAACCAGAATATATAAGAAGCTCAAACAACCCAATAGGAATAATTTTAAAATGGGCAAAGCATTTGAATAGACATTTCTCAAAAGAAGACATACAAATGACAAACAGGCATATGAACCCGTGCTCAATATCACTGGTCATCAGAGAAATGTAAATGAAAACTACAATGAGATATCATCTCAGCCCAGTTAAAATGGCTTTTATCAAAATATCAAGCTATAACAAGTGCTGCTAAGGATGTGGAGAAAAGGAAGCCCTGGTGTACTGTTGATAGGAATGCAAATTAGTAGAACCAGTACAGAGAACAGTTTGGAGGTTTCTCAATTCACTAAAAATAGAGCTACCATAGGAGCCAGCAATCCCACTGCTAGGTCTATATCCAAAAGAAAGAAAATCAGTATATTTAAGAGATATCCACACTCCCATGTTTGTTGCAGCACTGTTTACAATAGCTAAGATCTGGAAGAAACCTAGGTGTCCATCAACAGATGAATGGATAAATAAAATGTGGTATATACACACACACACACACACACACACAGTGGAGAACTATTCCGCTATAAAAAAAAAATGAGATTCTGTCATTTGCAACAACATGGATAGAAATGGAGGTCATTATATTAAGTGAAATAAGCCAGGGACAGAAAAATAAAAATCATATGTTCTCAGTTATTTGTGGAATTTAAAAATCAAAACAATTGAAGTCATGGAGCTAGAGAATAGAAGGATTGTTACCACAGGCTGGGAAGGGTAGTGGGGTGGGGAGGCAGAAGGTGGGGATGGTTAATAGATACAAAAAAATAGAATGAATTTGGTAACACAACAGGGGGACTATAGTCCATAATTATTTAATTATACATTTTGAAATAACTAAAAGATTACAATTGGATCATTTGTGACACAAAGGATAAATGCTTGAAGAAATCGATTCCCAATTTTCTTTGATGTGATTATTATGCATTGCATGCCTGTATCCCATAAATATATACATCTACTCTGTACCAAAAAATTAAATTGTTTTTCAAAAAGAAATAAAATGAACTTTTATAAACATATTTAGAATGATGCATACCTATTAAATTATCTTTTAGGTAATTCTCATCTTCTATCTTTTACTGCCAAAGACGTTATGTTCTTTTTAAGTTTTTTTTTTTTTTCCAATGGCAGATGCATTGATTTTCAGCGCAAATGTGTGCCAAAAGTTCAGTTCTGCTGTGTATGAAAGCCTCTTTATGGCCCAAAAAGTACATCTGTACTACTTTTATTATAAAGATAAAACATGACACATCCCAGCTGGGTAAATCTTCTGTCTATTTCTGGGTGCCCTCTGGGGGTAAGTTGGTTCACAGCTGGGGTACACAGGTTTCTCAAACTGCTGCTTGCACCGGGAGTATATAACTCCCAAAAGGCTGAACTTAAAACATTACCCTATCTGCCTGCGCTGGTTCTTTCTGCTGTTGATCCGTACCAAGTGTCAATCCCAGCCATTAGCTATCTTCTTTTCTTTGTTTATATTTTCCATGGGGGTTGCTAACAATACACCTCCCTCCTCCTAAGAAAACAACAGCAACAACAACAAAAACCTGCCACACTAATGGTACCACTAACAAGTCAACAGAAGAGAGAAAAATAGTATGTTCAAATGATAGTCCAGACCTTTGAGAAGCTTGTTTTAGCAGCAGCCTCTTTCAGTGTTCCTGGACTAATAATTTTGGATTTTGCTTGTAAGATAGATCATTATCAAAGACACCATTCACTAAACAAGAAACAGAGGCTAGGTCCTAGGAGTCATTATGTGGCAAAGTGTGTTTGTTTATTTGTTTGTTTGTTTACCATGTATGCAGCAAAGGGGCCTCAAACTAGAGCCATAACTGCAGCTCATTAAGAAAAGGAAAGCAACTGAAGCTTGATTTCTGCCACTCAAACTATCTTTTGCTACACTTTTGCATCCTGTATGTTAAAAAAACAGAGTGAGAAGAGCTTAAGCCAGCGATTCATTTGAATTGGGAAAAAGCCTATAATTCGGCAAAGGGTAGAATTTTATCATCTGGCAAACTATAACCCATAAAAGGATAGCCAGTAACCCCATAGGTTTGTGTACCTTTCATATCAGGGTCCAGATTTAGGTGAATCCTCTTTCCAACACACACTTCACACTCTCTGTCTCTTTGTTTCTGTCTCTGTCTCTGTCTCTGTCTCTGTCTCTCTCTCTCTCTGCTTACTGCATCTTTGCTTCTTTCTACATAAAAATCAAATTTGTTCTTATGGTCCCTTATTTTCTCCACTTGATAGAACAAATATGGCCAACAACATTTCCTGAGTATCAAAACTGCCTCAACTAAAAAGGATTGTAAGGATCCTATTTCTGATTTCTAGTTTATATAATAATGAAAAAATACTGTGATTGGTTCACGTTGGTTTAGGTGCCCACTCCAGATGAATCAATAATAGCCAGAAGAAAATGACAGACTCAAACAGAACTAAAACTGGTGGTGGTTGGAGAGGGGAATGTAGAGAATTTCTCAAACTCATAAAGAAGTGCTATATTCTAATGAAGGGTAGGGAAGACTGACTAGCATAAAAATTTGTCCAAAAACATGTGCGCTGTAACTTAAAGCCTTCTGACTTCAGTTATATATTCTTAAACCACAGTCCTTACAATTTTTTAAAAAAATTTCAAATTGTATTTTTAATGGAAAAATAGTAATTATATATATTTATTGGATTTATATATTTTAATATATTATATATTTTTTATGTTTACAATGTGGAATAATTAAGTCATGCTAGTTGACTAGTCTAACATCTCATTTGCTTATCATTCTTTTGCAGTGAAAATATTTAAGTTATGTGCCAGGAAAAAAAAATAGAGGACAAGTTTAAAAAGCACAAAATATTTGTACAAACTGGACAATAGATTTTTATACAAATTCCTGTGTCTTTTATTTATTTGCACGACTCAATTCCAATGTATCTTATTTATTTGCATATTTTTTGCAGGTTGTACTAATATAGTATTACTGAAAATCAAGTAAAAATTTAGCAACATAGCTCATCCTAATTGGGATATTTAAACAAATTAATAAATTATAAATAACTTGATAAATATATAGCAAATTGCAACAAAGTATAAAATTTTAACCTAAATTTATCACTTAAACACTATGTAAAATACCTATGGAAGGTTTTTATCTCAGTTAAATAATTTAGAGTTTGGGGAAAGATAAGATGAATATGTAAATTTATAGATTTTAACATAATAAGCATTTGCTAATTACTTCCAAAGAGGGATTTATGGGCGAGATTATTGTGTTCACAGTTGTATGAATAACTAACTCAAAATATAGGCAGGTGGAAAATAATGATTCCAAGGGAAATAAAATCTTACTTTCCAAAAGGTCAAATACAGAATTTATTGTTCAAAACTTTCCATTACTTGGGCTATTTACTACAGAGAGTATTAAATAACATAAGATGAAAGTGACAAAACCGATTTTTTGATATGCACACCATTTATAAGAAATATCTTCTGATAAAATGATGTGAAATCTAAAACATCTTGAAAATGAACTACCCTATTTCAAGTAGCTTAGAGCAAAAATGAGACATCTGCCAGGAAGTCAGCAAAAGAGACTGACAAGATCAACAGAAGTGGAGTGCCAGCAAGTTGTAATATATTATGACATGATCTAGGTGCTATATTTTTTTTCTTTTTTAAAATGAAAGATTGAAGGTGATTGTAACATAGAAAGGTATTTCTGGCAGGAAGGCAGTAAGGAAATTTCCTGATGGTCTCAACTTTGAAAGCCATCAGAGTGGGAGACTGCATATCTATAGTAGTATATCTAAAAAAAAAAAAAAAGAAAAGAAAGAAAAAAAAAGCTTTTTTTTTTTAATCAAAGGCTACATGATTTGAGAATTCAGATGACAGATATGACACAGAGAAGGGAGTCTTGCAGATGCTATTACATGTGGGGGTGTGCTAAGGATAAAAATCAAGCTGAATTTTAGAACATCCCATTCTCTTCAAGATCCCTTGATTGTTTAGTACTAACTGTACATTTCAAAAGTTCTTAGATACTTCACTGTGATCAGGTGTTAGATTCCAAAGTAGTAACTACAATCAAGTCACACGGAACAAAATGGGGAACATGTACTATAAACCCCCCAAATTTCCCAGGCCTTAAAATATTCTAGAGTACTAGAATAAAGAAAAAGTAAATAAATAAAATGGAAACTATGGCAGAATTGTTTTCCAGATTCATGCTTTGTGAAAGGATACTACCACTTATGATATAACTGCTATTTCTACTTTAAAAATTCAACCATAACCACTGCACGTTATCACTGAAATTTCGCTTTGTCTCCAAACTTGGCTTTATAAAGACATGGCACCTTATTTTAACCCCATAATCCCAGTGAAATTGATTCTACATAAGTAGCTTCTCCTCGCTCTTCCATTTTATGTTTAGACATAGAGAAGATCTGAGCTCTCTAATGCTGATAGTCTAGTTTTATTGATTAGACTGTCTCTTAATATTCTGGGTTTGCAGATTCCAAGCCCTTTCTATACATATTAGCTGATATAGATTGTGCCCATGTTATGTGCTTACCTTTTCCCCAAAAGGCCATCTTTTACAGCTCTCATTGTGGTTATATAACCCAGGTGACAGCAAGTTGGATCACGATAGTCCTAAAATCTTAGCATGCTTTGTGGCAAAAGAGTGTACATTTAAACTAGTAATGATGTTGCTGGTCTTTCAGACTTTCTCAAGCGATATATGCTTATTATTTCAAACTGATATATTATTTAAAACAAGATATATTATTTAAAACAAGAGCAAGGAGTCATAGATTCTCCATCTTTAGTCTTTTGTCCCAAGAGTAGGACTATTCAATATTCCCCACAGCACTGTATAATGATTTAATTTATACTGGTTGACTATGGATATGCTGTGTATCTTAAGAGTAGAAAAGAACTGATGAATATTTTGTTCTCATAAGATACACAGTAAAATTCCAACATAAAATAATTCCTAATATGAGCACGAAATATACCAAAAAAGAAAAAGAATTACAATCCTTAGATATCTCACAGTTTTACCCACATCTTATGGTCTGGTAAAGGATGTCTGCAGTGAAAGATGAATGAATATTCCATAAAACCTTATCATTTAAAAACTCAGCTAATCTAAGCAATAGTTGAACAGACAAAAAATATTGAATAGAAGATGTATAAGTTTGAGTTCTCCACAATCACATTCTGAGGCCAAAATATGCATTCAAAAGCAAGTTTATTTGGGAGATGATCCTAGAAGCTGGGTGAGGTTTTAAAAGCATGATGCTGGCTGGGCGCGGTGGCTCATGCCTATAATCCCAGCACTTTGGGAGTCCGAGGAGGGCGGATCACCCGAGGTTGGGATTCGAGATCAGCCTGACCAACATGGAGAAACCCCATCTCTACTAAAAATACAAAATTAGACGGGCATGGTGGTGCATGCCTGTAATCCCAGCTACTCGGGAGGCTGAGGCAGGAGAATCGCTTGAACCTCGGAGGCAGAGGTTGCAATGAGCCAAGATTGCGCCATTGCACTCTAGGCCAGGCAACAAGAGCGAAACTTTGTCTCAAAATAAAATAAAATAAAATAAAATAAAATAAAATAAAATAAAATAAAATAAAATAAAATAAAATAAAATAAAATAAAATAAAATAAAATAAAATAAATAATAAAAGCATGATGCAAAGGAAAAAGGAAAGCCAATAATGATGTGTTACCGAGCTAGTAAACTTTATGGACAAAAGGGAATAAATACTATTGGGGTTACTATGAGAGTCTGTGCAGAAAACACTTTAAAAGGTTCTCCCTGTGGTGTGGAATAAAGAATTTATGTATTGTTTCTGTATGGATAAGTTAAGCTTCTAGATTAGTGGTCAGCAGAATTTTTCTGTGAAGGACCAGATAGTAAATATTTTAGACTTTGCACGACATAGGATGTCTGTCACAACAGCACAACCCTTGTAACATGAAGGCATCTATAGATGATATGTTAGCAGATAACTGTGTCTGTGTTTCAATAAAACCTTATTTACGAAAACAGGTTGTAAGCTCAAGTTGGCCTGAGAGCCACAGTACGCCAACTCCTATTCTAGACCACCAAGTTCTCTGCTCAGCACAGCTGAAGATGATTATGCAGCTAGAGAATGCGGTTAGGTAGAAAGATGCAGGAAGCCACGGGCTATTATGAAAATGTCTATAAGTGGTAAATAGAAAATAAAATATTAAAAGTTGATTTCAGTAAGGGAGGTTATTTAAAAGAAAAATAAAAACTATGTTGCAGTTTTTAAATCAAAGAGCATCTAAAAAGTATTATGCTAGAAGGATCTCAAAATTATTATTTTTTACATTATAAATCTCCTGAATTAGAAAGAAATCTAGAATTCCTATCTATTTGATCCCTAATGATATCTAATTAAATTAATAATGTTTGATATGTTTAATCATATAAATACTCTTTGGAGAAGAATGTTTCCAAAAGCAAAACAAAACAGCTATTGCCCACTTATGTGTTCTGCATCTATACTATACCTAATTGGAAAGATTGCATGCTATAGTTAGTTCATTGCAAGTAACAAGTATTCAATTCCTATCAGTTTGGCTTTTTGTTTGTTTTTGTTTCTTAATCAGATGAGATTTAAATTAAAGATAGAGAAAAGAAGCTTGAGATCCAATGACATTGACTTATGTACCCTAAAATTAAAGCATCCTTGACCATACAAAAGGTTGAAGGTATAAAACAATGATTCAAGAAATAAAATTATCACTTTAGAAACATTAGCTAAATATATCATTGATGATTTGATGTTTTAAATTTAGTATTTATATTACAGACTTTTCATAAAATATCATTTAATAACAAGGAGGCACACATATATTCTATGTCAGTCAAATAAAGTTCAATAGTAGTAATTTGGGGAAATTTCAAGACACACAGATCAGCGGGTATTTTCATTTTATGACTTTTAATTTCATTTTCAGTTAGACTGCACCTGAAGAGCTTTGATTTATAACTATATATTTACTGGACATAATTTAAAAATAAATAAAAGATCAACCAAAAAATGTTTGTAAGGTAATAGCATTTCTTCTGTAGTTTTGTAAGACTGTAATCGAATTCACTTGTAAGCAATAAGATTATTGCTTCATAAAATAGCCCAGTAGTGTTATGGTATTTTCCCAACTGTGGTGCTCCAAGACCTGTTAAAAATGTGTGCAATAACTATGAACATAAACATATAAATGTATTGGATTTTTCTTTTTTCCACATCAAGATATAGGAGTAACAACACAAGAAAAAGGTTAAAAACTGACCAAACAAAATGAATTAGGCCAACCACAAAATATAGCCTAATGTGAAAAATTATAATATTTTCAAGAGTAAATATATTAATAGACAAAAATATCTGTGCTCACAATATACTTACAAATTAAAAGTTCAAAAGCTCAATTGTGAGTTTGATAGGGAACGGAGATGTTAGCATAATCAGAAGGTTATGCAAGTCTGTTATGAAAGTAAGATAATTACACCAGGTTTTGAAGAACTTGCCTTTGTATGTCTCTGTCTTTAATTTATCTGCGGATGGAGAAGTCAAGAGAGATGTGAAGGAGGCGGTGTGTGTGTGATAGACTTTCTAAGATGAACTCAAATTAGAACATTGTGAATGGAGATGCAGATTTCTACTTAGAATGTATTAGTTGTATTTAGAGGCTGAAAATATCACAAGAATTTATTTGGTTTGCTTTGTGTGTGTGTATTTTTTTAAATAAATTAAACTTTATTTTAGATTCGGGGGTACGTGTGCAGGTTTGTCACACGCGTGCAGGTTTGTATGCTGTGTGATGCTGAGCTTTGGGGTATGGATGATTTCATCACCCAGGTAGTGAGCATAGCACCCAATAGTTTTTCAAACCTTCCCTCTCTTTCTTTTTCACCCCTCTAGTAATCCCCAGGGTCTATTGTCGCCATCTTTATGTCCAGGATTATCCAATGTTTAGCTCCCTCTTATAAGTGAGAACATGTGGTATTTGATTTTTTATTCCTGCATTATTTTACTTAGAATAATGGCCCCCAGTTTGCTTTGTTTATTGCCTATTGATTTTGTGGGGGGTTTTGTTTGTTTGTGAGTTTGTTTTCTTAGAGAGAAATAATACCATGTCAGATAAAAATAGATTGCTGGACCTGTAACTTGCCATGTTATTTGAATATATCATAAAAATGTAGAGAAGAGAAAGGTAATTTGGAAAGCTAAGATGATCAACTATTCAGCTCTTCTCTCTTCCCAACATGTCTAAATGTGGTAGCCACGATTCTAAGATGACCCTTAGTAAACCCTCCCCTTGACTGGAGTATGACCATTGAATAAGATTTGATATCACTCCCATGATTAGCTTACTAATCAGTTAGGTTTAAGTGAATCAAAAGAAAAATTGCCTTGGTAGGCATGACCTAATCAGGTGAGCTCTTAAAGGAAGAGAAAGCATCAGAGAAATTATCCTCCTGGTATGAAAGGAGAAGTAAACCATCAGGTTTTGAGTAGGCCTATGAGCCACAGGCCCTTAGAAGCTGACACTGACCTGTAGCTGAGCAGCCAACTGGCAAAACAGAGATCTCTGTAACTACAACTTCAAAAAAATCTGTCAATTACCCCAAAGATTTTGGAAGAGAACCCCAAACTCCAAATGAAAATGCAATATGGCTATCATGCTTTTTTCTGCCTTATAAGACCCTGAGCAGATAACCAAGTGAACCCACTCTCATACTCCTGACTCAGGAAACTGGCTAAATAGATACCATTATTATTCCCAATCTACAGATGATAAATTGGGGCTAAGAGAGGTATAAATAACTAGCCCAAAGTTACACCATTGGTAACTGTCTGTGCTGGGATTTGAACCAAAGGAATCAGACTCTAGTCTGCCTTATTTTCTTCAGTGTAATAGTATGTTTGGTAGGACCTTGCTTTGTTTGCCTTCATACAAAGATCTCCTGAAATCGGTGGTGTAGCTGCTGATAATTATTTTGGCAACTGATTCGTTCATGGTTTTGTGAGGGTATGATTTATATCTTTTTGTATTTAATATCTAAGTAGTAAACCTAAACTAATTTTCTTTTTCAGCTTGTGTGTGTGTGTGTGTGTGTGTGTGTGTGTGTGCGCGCGCTACAGTTTGGGTAACTTTTATTGCAAGATTTACAAAACTCACTTTGGTAGTCGGAATTTTGAAAAGCCTAATATGCTGTTACAATATTCAGTGAGATTTTGTTTGTCATTGCTTTATACATTTCTGGAATTGCCATTTAGTTCTTTCTTGTTGGTTCTAATAACAGATCTAAACCTTCCTATTTGCTCATTCATTATATTAAAGTTTTATTTTAAATTTTTGAAGATATGTCTAATAGTTCTTTTAAACTCAATGCTTTTGCTAAATTTATTATTTTTGTTGTTTCCTAGTCTGCTTTTATTGGCCTGTTCTTACACCTGGTAACGAGGCACATTTTCCTGCTTATCGGCATACTTAGTAAAATTTTATTCTTTACTGTATGCTGCAAATTATGGACTTAACATTGTTGAGATGGAATTGTGTTTTCTTTAGTTAATACAGTATTTAGTTTTGTTCTGGACACCAGTTACTTTGGTAAAGAAGCAATTTTTTTTGGGGGGGGTTCTTTTATTTTAGCTGTGTTACAGCAGATCTAGTGTTGCCATTTGGGGATCAGATCAGGCCTACCAAAATATTTCTTTCTAGGTTCTTTCCTGAATGCCTGGTGATTTCAATGAGGTTTATTCAGTAGGACAGGTCAGAAATCATACTTTTTCTAGTGCTGGATGAGGTTCCGTAACTGTTAAGATCACAGAAAGCTAGCAGTTATTTTTTTCCCAGTAGTTGTACTTTGCCAGCACAATGCCTTGAGCTTTGAATGTACCCTTCAGTTTTTAGCAAAAAATTTTACAGTATCATGAAGATTTCTGGAGCTCCTTCTCTGCGTAATTCTTATCTATGAGGTGTTCTGCCCTACATTTCCATCCACAGAGTTAGAGTGACTCTGAACTCTTAATTTCCGTCTTGTCAGCTCAGTGAGACCTCTATTCACTGCAATCCCCTGCCTTTGCTGCAGTTAAGAAAATGCGTCTAAGACGTGCTTAACTCTCTACTTCTGCCTCTCAAGAGCCACAGTCCTTCCTGATGTGCAACTCTAAAAATTATTTTACGCATTTTGTTTAGTTTTAAAGTTATTTTCAGGCGTAGAGCTAGTCTAAGACAAGCTGCTCCATTATGACCAGAGACGGCAGTCCCTATTTTAAAATCTATACTATCCAAATTTTCATTTGAAACATTTCATCATATTCCACCATCTTCCACTGAAACCTCAGTCACCTCTGCCACCATCCTCCTTATCTATTAACCAGGTATTCAGTTCCCCGTCTGCTTAGCCCTGTACTCACTGATGGAAGGAAGTATTACTGTTTTTCCAAGAAATGTTTCTCCTACTGATTTGGCTGCAATTGGGTGCTATGTTCACTTTGTTCAAATGTTAATTTTTTGGTATGTATCTCTTAGAGATATTTTATTAAGGAAAACTTTGACTTCTAAAACACTTTGTATTTTCATATACTCACACAGCATATAAATATTTTATGTTGCATATTCTGTAGAGATTAATCTTTTGACATTTAGTTTTGGATTCTGATGAATTAGGACATACTTAGTTTTTGAGCTCAATATTATAAATATATATTCACATATGCATACACACACATAAGGACACACATATTTCAGTTAAAATATTAATGAAAATTGGACATTAAAATGAAACAGATTATTGAAACAAATTGAAAAAGAGAAATAGATTAGACAAATCTGAGTTTGAAAAACAAACACCTTTAGTGGTACTTTTACTAAAAATTAAACCACTGTCAAAAGTAGCAGTGAACTCATCAGTTGAAGCTGGAAACTATCATTCTCAGCAAACTATTGCAAGGACAAAAAACCAAACACCGCATGTTCTCACTCATAGGTGGGAATTGAACAATGAGAACACTTGGACACAGGAAGGGGAACATCACACACTGGGGCCTGTTGTGGGGTGGGGGTAGCGGGGAGGGATAGTATTAGGAGATATACCTAATGTAAATGACGAGTTAATGGGTGCAGCACACCAACATGGCACATGTATACATATGTAACAAACCTGCAGGTTGTGCACATGTACCCTAGAACTTAAAGTATATATATATATATGTATGTGTATATATACATATGTATGTGTATATATATATGTGTGTGTGTGTGTATATATATATATATATATATGTGTATGTATATATATATATAGGGCTGGGCACAGTGGCTCACCCCTGTAATCCCAGCACTTTGGGAGGCCGAGGCAGGCAGATCATGAGGTCAGGAGATAGAGACTATCCTGGCTAACATGGTGAAACCCCGTCTCTACTAAAAATACAAAAAATTAGCCGGGCGTGGTGGCGGGCGCCTGTAGTCCCAGCTACTCAGGAGGCTGAGGCAGGAGAATGGCGTGAATCCAGGAGACGGAGGTTGCAGTGAGCCGAGATCGGGCCACTGCACTCCAGCCTGCGCGACAGAGCAAGACTCCGTCTCAAAAAAAAAAAAAAAAGTTGCAGTGAAACTCATTTGTGATATGTTAAAATACTTTTAAAAGACATATCATTGGACAGTGTAGCACATCCAATATGCTCCCACTGCTTTTGACAGCAGAAACTTTCCAGACTAATGTCAAATATTTTTTACAGATATCTTAGAGGTTGACTGCCAACCACTCTAAGGGAGGCAACCAAACAGACATCACATTCATGGAAGTTTTGTGGTAGGGCCAGGAAGTAGGTGCATTACAATGACAAGGACAGTACTGATGAAGCCTTTCACATCAAACTTAAGAGTATTAACTAGCCGTTATAAACAAAAGTAAAAATTATCCTTAATTGAAGTCCTTATATTTATTTACTAAAAATCCTTGAAAATGAAAGTCCTAACATACCCTTGTTAAAATATCAATAGTTTGACAAAAATTTTTTTGTAGCATTCTGGCCAGGTTTTTATAGGGAGTTGCGGCTCATTATGTGCTTGTTTCTTTATAACGATTTCAAAAAGCATCTCATTCACAGAAAACTGTTGAAGAGTAATTGGGGGTGAAATCTCACTGAGTTATTGTGTTCAAACAGCAGAGACTGAATAGAGACAGAATTGCCTCAATTATATTTGGCGTATTTATTTTATCTGGTAATATATTTGTATGCATAATTCTTCTCTATTTGTTATTTACAAATAGCCGTCTAAAGTAAAAACCAAAAGTGTAATTTCAAAGAACACTTGACCAACCTAATGATACAGGTGCATTTTAAAGGTTAAAAACCAAGTTAAACTATAGAGAACATGCCATGCTTTGAAATTATCCAAAAGGTATTTTATAATAAATTTCAGAATATTAATAAAAATGAGATTTGTGAATAATCATCATTAATATTCAGCATAGTGTTATATAAAAAAGAAAGCAATGATTTTCAAAATTTAGCACCATTTCCTAACTTTTCACCTTTTAAACAATAGACATTGCGATAACAACAAAAGAAACAATGAAAAAGTATATGGCTTTCATAATGTGCGTAATATTTATATATATGTATGTATACGTATTTATATAAATAAGTATATATACATAAGCACACATACACACATACTCATATCTGAACTTCTTGCAGAGGTTGGTGTTCATAATTATATTGGGTATGTTGACTCAACACTGCAGAAACTGAATATTTCATGCTTATGAAAATGCTTAATGCAAACTGCACATGTTCTGTGTTATTAATGAGTGTGTAAAATAAGGAATTGGAAAATGTAAAACATTCCCATAAAGTATGCAGGGGCAGGTGGTTTATTTGTCCATGGAATAAATCTTTAATTTGTGCTCTGAAATATAATTTTGCAAAACAGTGTTTGTTCCTTCTTACCACCAAAAAAAAATACACTAAAGATATCTCTATCTCTTTAAAAAATAATTTCCTAATGTACTGTAAAAAGCATACATTTAGAAAATATTCTGTTATATTGTGGCAAAAAATTCTGATATATACACCATGATCACCGTAATAATCTTATTACTGAAGGTGTACTTTAGGTTGCTTTTTCCCCAAAATTTGAGAAGTAAGAGGTCAAGATAAGACTAGAAAATACAGTCATAACTTATATACCACATCACAAATGGGAATAGAAGAGGGAGAGAGAGAGAGAGAGGCAGGAATGTGTGTGGGGGCTGGGGAGTTAGATGTGGAAGAGACACAAACCTGTAGGTTAAGAAACCTAAGTAGTTATGGCTTCTGAAGAATGAAATGAGTTTGCATTTTTGAAATGTGAACAGACAACATTAATTAAGTCCAACATAAAAAGGATATCTCAGAAGGTTAGAAAGGTATACCTATGTAGAGTCTAAGAGCCGAAAAGGCAAAACGCAGAAAGAAAGATATAAGTAACAGCATTAACATTTGTGGAAATAAATAGCAGGGACTCATTCATGGTTTAGATACAGAAACACAATTCTCAAGAGAGGTCTTCAATTTTGCGGGAAAATTGTAAAGAAACCCCCACCTTTGGATTGTAGGAATATGGGGATGAAGCCACACCATCATTGAAGTTAACGGATTCCCACTGGCATTAAACCCAAACTTTCGGACACATGGTGCTCAACCATTGGCCTAGACCGCAGGACCTTCAGTCACTATGAGGTGAGTCAGAGGTAATTTGTTACAGTTATAAAAATGAAAATAATACAGAAAATATCAATGGAAATAGTTCTGAGTTAATTGGTATAAAAATGTCAGTCTATCTTACTGACAGTCTAATATGCTTTCAGGAGTAGGAAAAATAGAATTGGTTACCACTATCAGAAATGGCCACGGGAAGTGACACACAGGTGAATCCTTTCTGAGATGTCAACAGGAAGCAAAAAAAAGGGCAAAATTCTCTGCTTTAAAGAACAGAAGTAAGAAGCTAAAGAAGTTATATAAGCCTCTGGTAAACAACTATGGCTACAAACAATCAATCATCAACAGTTTTTTTTATTTTTTTTTTCCTAAACAGTTACTCTGGACAAGGTGCTATAGTTATGCAACAAAGTGAGGAACGCATTCTCTACTCCCAAGGAATTTATAATCTATTGAAAAATTAGGAACCCAAGGAGACATGATCAAATTTGATTTGTTCCTTGATGCCTTCTGATGTTCTTATAGCATCCTAGGAATTTTGCAGACCTGGGCACCTTGCTAATTTTCAGTAACATGATAAGAAGAAAAGCAAATGACTTGAATTCTGAAGATAAAAAGAAAGTGCAATGAATTCAACCAATTCACTCTTCTGAAAGTGTAGATAAAAAGTCAGGCAAAATGGCCAAATGTCCCTAGACATATGACTTCAAAAACTTTTGTTTCCTCATTTCAGAATGGTAGTAAAATTATTTACTTTGTTATGTTAATCTGAAGACTAGAGGTAACCTGGCAAAATTCCTAGTATTTTTAAAATTTTTAACTTTTATGGGTACATAGTAGGTGCATATATTTATGAGGTACATGAGATATTTTGATACAAGCATATAATGCATAATAATCACAGCAGGGTTGATGGGGTATGGATTGCCTCAAACATTATCATTTCTTTGTGTTAAGAGCATTCCTTTACGGGTTTTACATTATTTTTACATGTATAATAAATGATGGTTGACTGTAACCTCCCTGTTATGCTATCAAATAGTAGATCCTATTCATTCTAACTATTTTTTGTAGTTATTAACCATCTCTACATCCCCTGCATCTCACTACCCTCCTCAGCCTCTGGTAACCATCATTCTACTCTCTATCTCCATGAGTTAAACTGTTTAAAGTTTTAGATACAACAAATGAATGAGAACGTGCAAAATGTGTTTTTCTGTGCCTTGCTTACTGTGCCTTACATAATGATCTCCAGTTCCATCCATGTTATTGTAAATGACTGAATTTCATTCTTTTAATGGCTGAAAAGTTCTCCACTGTGTATATGTACCACATTTTTTTTTATCCATTCATCTGTTAATGGACACTTAGATTGCTTCCAAATCTTAGCTATCGTAAACAACGCTGCAATAAAAACGTAAGTGCAGTTATCTCTTGGATATGCTGAGTGGAATTTCTGGCTCATATGGTAGATCTATTTTTAGTTTATTGGGGAACCTCCATACTATTCTCCATAGTGGCTGTACTAATTTACATTCCCACCAATGGTGTACGAGGTTTCCCCTTTCTCTACAACCTCACTAGCATTCATTGTTGCCTGTCTTTTGGATAAAGGTCACTTTAGGGTGAGATAATACCCCATTGTAGTTTTGTTTTGCATTTCTCTGATGATCAATGATATTGAGCACCTTTTCATATGCCTGTTTGCTATTTGTATGTCTTCTTTGCTTTTGAGGAATGTGTATTTAAATCTTTTGCCCATTTTAAATCAGATTATTAGATTTTTTCTTATTGAGTTGTTTAAGCTCCTTATATATTCAGGTTATTTATCCCTTTTCAGATGGGTAGTTTGCAAATATTTTCTCCTATTATCTGGGTTGTCTCTTCACTTTTTTGATTGTTTCCTCTCTGTGCAGAAGCTTTTTAGCCTGATGTGATGTGATTGTCCATTTTTGCTTTTGTTGCCTTTGCTTCTAGGGTATAATCAAGAAATCTTCACCCAGACCAATGTCCTGCAGAGTTTCCTCAATGTCCTCTTTTAGTAGTTTCAAAATTTGAGGTTTTAGATTTAAGTCCTTAAATTTAGATTTAAGTCCTTAATCCGTTTTTATTTGATTTTTAATAGAGTGAGAGATAGGATTCTAGTTTCATGCTTTTGCATATAAACATCCAGTTCCCCAAAACAATTTATTGAAGAAACTGTCTTTCTTCAATAAATTCTTGGCCCAATGTATATTCTTGGTATCTTTGTCAGAAATGTTCACTGTAGATGTATGGATTTATTCATGGGATCTCTCTTTTGTTCCATTGGTCTAGGTGTCTGTTTTTATGCCATTACTATGCTGTTTTGGTAACTATAGCTCTGTAGTACAATTTGAAGTCAGGTAATGTGATGCTTCCAGTTTTTTTTTCTTTTATTTTTTTTCCACTCAAGATGGCTTGCACTATTCTGTCTCTTTTGTGGTTCCACATAAATCTTGGAATTTCTTTTCTGTGAAGAATGTCTTTGCTATTTTGATAGGGAATGTACTGGATCTGTAGATTGCTTTGGGTGGGATGGGCATTTTAACAATATTGATTATTCTAATCCATGTGCATGGATTATTTTTCCTTTGTGTGTGTGTTTTCTCCAATTTATTACATCAGGGTTTTGTAGTTTTCTTTGTAATCCTTTACTTCATTGATTTCTAGGTATTTTGTATTATTTGTAGTTTTTAATTGTAATTAATTTCTTGATTTCATTTCCAGGTTGTTTGCTGTGGGCATATAGAAATGTTATCAATTTTCATATGTTGATTTTGTATCCTGCAAATTTACTGAATTTGCTTATGAAATCTAATAATGTTTTGGTGGAGTCCTTAGGTTTTTACAAATATAAGATTATATTATCTGTGAACAAAAAATAATTTGCCATCATCCTTTACAATTTGGATGCCCTTTGTTTATTTCACTTGGATTGTTCTAGCTAAAACTCCCAATACTATTGAATAATGGTGGTGAAAGTGGCATCCTTGTCATGTTTCATATCTTAGATGCTAGACATACAGCTTTTCTTCATTCACTGTGATAGTAGTTGTGGGTCTGTCATATATGGGTTTTATTGTGTTGAGGCATGTTGCTTCTATTCCCAGTTTATTGAGGGTTTTTATCATGAAAGGATGTTGAATTTTATTCCATGCTTTTCCAGTATCAATTGAAACAATCATATGTTTTTTGTCCTTCATTTTGTTATTATAATGTATCACAGGTTGATTTGCATATGTTGAACTATTCTTGCATTCTATGATAAATTCCACTTAGTCATGATGAATGTCTCCTGGAATTCAGTTTGCTAGTAGTTTTTGGAGGATTCTTGCAACAATATTCATTGGAAATATTGGCCTTTAATTTGCTTGTTTGGTTGGTTTTTGAGGTGTGTGTTTTTGGTATCAGGATAATACTGGCCTTGTAGAATGAGTTTAACAGTACCTCTTTCTCTTCTATTTTCTGGAATAGTTTTCAAGTAAGCCTGGTATTAGTTCTTTGAATGTTTGGTAAAATTCAGCAGTGTAGCCATTGGGTCCTGGGCTTTTCTTTACTAAGAGACTTTTTGTTACAATATCAATTTTGTTACTTGCTATTGGTCTAGTGAAATTTTGAATTTCTTCATGGTTCAATCTTGGTAGCTTGTATGTGTCTAAGAATTTATCAATTTCTTCTAGGTTTTTCCATTTCTTTTTTTTATTATTATTATACTTTAAGTTCTGGGGTACGTGTGCAGAATATGCAGGTTTTTTACATAGGTATACACATGCCATGGTGATCAACCCGTCATCTACATTAGGTATTTCTCCTAATGCTATCCCTACCGTAGCCTCCCACCTCCCAACAGGCCCCAATGTGTGATATTCCCCTCTCTGTGTCCACATGTTCTCATTGTTCATCTCCCACTTATGAGCGAGACATATGGTGTTTGGTTTTCTGTTCCTGTGCAAGTTTGGTGAGAATGATGGTTTCCAGGTTCATCCATGTCCCTGCAAAGGACATGAACTCATCCTTTTATATGGCTGCATAGTATTGCATGGTATATATGTGCCACATTTCTGTTATCCGGTCTATCTTTGAGGGGCATTTGGGTTGGTTTCAAGTCTTTGCTATGTCTTAGTCTAGGTAAAAGTTTGCTGATTTTATCTTTTAAAAAAATTTAGCTTTTCCTTTTGCCAGGCTTTTGTATTTTTTTTTTGTTTCAATTTTACTTATATCTACTCTGATCTTTATGATTTCTTTTAAAAATTCTCAGTTTTGGCAAATAGGAAACCCTTTACTAAGCAAATACATACTTTTATGTAAATACGTGCATATAAGATCAACAGCACACAGTGCAAGAAATGGTAGCTATGTCCTCCATTTTGAAGGTATTGTTGTTATACAGTGAGAAACTGAAAAAAATAAATTTCTATACCCAGCCAATTATTGGTTATTTGAAAACATTCTTAATTAACTAGATATTTTTCCACTTACTCTACTAACTAATGCAGCCCACTCTGTTTTCTCTTTCTTATCTTCCTATTATCCTTGCTTCCCAATTAAATGCCCATTTTCTCCTAGATAAGGACTTTGAAATAGAACAAGAATCATAAATGCTGTTCTGATAAACACACAATAAAATTCTCCCTCCCTCAGGTATCTATTGATTCTATTTGAACTTGCTATTGCATTGAGGATAAATTTTCTGAGTGTCATCCCTATCATAGGGAACAAGATATGTAATATACATGAAAAATTTATAAGATTAGAATATGCAATGATGGAATTGTTTAAGTAAAAGGGCAAAAATTTCAAAATTATAAGATTAAACTATATACAAACTTAGATTATCTATTAAAATATTTAGAAGACTAGGCACTAGGCATTCATTCCTAAGTTAATGGCTTTGCTTGGTTTGTTTATTTTTTTATATGGTTTCTAGTTGGAAAGTCACAGCTTAAAAAATAATGCTTTTATATGACTTGAAATAAGATGTTTTGCTGTGTTTTTATAGTTAACTTAGCATAGATCCTTCTCGTTACTATTGAATTTCATGAAATAAGGATATAATAATCAAGCAAACTTTCTAAGACTACGATTTTATAAATAACTACTATTTAATGGATAATTCAACAACAGAAGGCAACCAACGTATAGTGGGATAAAAGAGAGATTTTAAATTTAAATTGCTCTCTGCATTTCTGATTATTTTTGAGTCTTAAGTTTAGTTTGTTTAACAGAAATGCAAGGACAGGTAAAAATACAATAAAGAATTCATTTAAATAGAAATATGTTTTACCTAATTCATGGAATTTTAAAACTGAAAAGGGACAATTTATTTCTTGTACTATGGAATGAATTATAGTTCAGAATGGTAAAGTAACACACTCAAAATTGTAATCTTTTAATTGCTGTAGAAAGATTAAAAACAGAGGGTTTTTTTAAAAAACTTTTAATCCCAAGGTGTTTCCAATATTTACCAAAAGACTCTTACACTCCAAAAATAATTTATATAGGATGATAATACAAATTCCTCATTATTTATATAATTATTAAAAATTAGTGCTTCTATAGAAAGTGTTCATACCGATTTAAATTTTGCTTACAATAACATTATATAAACAAGATACTGTTTTTTGGATTTGATGGAATTAAAGTTTATTTGTTATTTATAATGGATTATTATATTAATTTCAATACTTGCATATCTAAGTTTCAAAGAAAAATTTAGGCTGTCAATCTGACATATGGACAAACAGTAAAATCTATAAATGAGTTATATATATATTATACTATATATAGAATATATAGTATTTTATGTAGAAAGAAAAACTCATTAATATATTTTTATAATAGATTATATATATTATACATTATAGATTTTATATATAATATAGATTTTATATGGAAGAAAATAACTCATTTATGGATTTTACTGTTTAAAATACTATATGCAAATATAGTATTTTATATGTATATCTTTGTAATTTATGGTTGTTTGAGAGAAATTGATTGATTTGTACTCATCATTAATTCATCATTAACACACTATTCACATAAGACAAAATGTGTTTGCTAGAGGTGACTGATCAGTCTCCCACAGAAGAGTATTATAAGGGCTATAAGCTTCTTATGAACTTTTCAAGACCATTTCTTCTCATAAGTTCAGAGTGCTTTATCGATATTAGCTCATTAATCTTACAGCATCCTTGTGAAGAAGACAACAGGTATTATCACTGCTCTGCACATGGAGCAACACATAATAGAAAGGTCAACTGCCTTGTTCAGGTTTATAGTAAGACAATTATGAAACCAAGCACGTCTATGGATGCACATATACCTGAACTAAACTCCTGTGCTCTGAACTTCCCAAACTTTTTTGATAAGAATCTTGAGAGGCTTTTGTTAAAATGGATATGAATCTTTGGTAAACACATTGCAAGAACATGAAGCGATAATGAGAGGGAGTCCATATATTAAAAGACTTAAAATATATAAACATCAAGTAAATTAAGTGGTCTTGTGGATGATTCAGACAAACTAGAAAAACAATGTATTTATAAAACGATGAAAAATGTCAACAGTGATTGACAAATGCTATTTAGCAACTACTGGTGGATTTTTCTGAGTGATAATTTTATTGTGGCCTTATTAAAAGATAAGTCTCCTTTATGAGCTATATTCTGAAACATGTAGGGATGAATTGACAATGTTGTCTTGGATTTGCTAAAAAGTTTTGTCCAGAAGGGGACAGCATGGTATGTTCAAAGTTACCTTGTTTCATCATGAGTTGATAATTGTTGAAGCTGAGTGATGGGTGCAAATGAGTTTATTATAGTAACTGTTATATTTTTTACGTATTTGAAATGTTCTATCTTAAGTTTTTATTAATGTGGAAAAATTCTCCTGATGAGGCTTTGATTTAGTAGGTTGGTTTGTGGAGCCTAGGAGTGTTTTTAATATACCCCCATATGATTCTTATGATAAGGAAATTCTTGGAAATACTGCCCCTACTGACTCATTCTTGAGCTCTGTAGAGACTGACATAAAAAGTCAAATAGTTTAACATCTGGAATTTATTTACATGCAATTTTTATTTGTAGAATTTTAAACAATACCCAGTTATTGGTATAAAATAATTTTTAAGTTCCTTTTTAAAAGCAAATGACTCTGATCCAATATTTTAAAAATAACATAATAAAATAAATAATGTGTTTTTAGTAAAAATGTACTCTTGAATTGAGTGGGCAGTGCAGATATACCAGTAGATTTTACTGAAAATTGAAAAAGCAATGTTCATTTTTCACTATAAAATGTTCACACCCACCAACACACACTGGAGCCTATCCGAGGGTGAAGGGAAGGAGGAGGGAAAGGATGAGGAAAAATAACTATTGAATACTAGACTTAATACCTGGGTAATGAAATAATGTGTACAATAAACCACAATAAAGCCCCCGACACACGTTTACCTGTGTAACAAACCTGCACATCTACCCCTGAAATTAAAATAAAAGTTCAGATTAATTTTCTACTTCAAAGCAAGATAGCTCTGTTTTGACATAGAATGGTGTCAAGGCACATCTTATTAGACAAAGATGCAGGCTGTTACAGGGTCCTGAATACAGTTTTCATAATTACTTAAGCAATAGAAAAATTATGTAAAAGTAGATTTCTGCCTTTTCTTTTCCGAATAATCATATAACTGCTTATGCACATTTGGCATCAGAAATAAAAAAATGAAATGTGCTTTTGGAAAAGAACTAGTCACTCATGTTTATAAAATAGCAACACTATCATGTTGTTGATTGAATACAATTTAACTTAGTTTTTCAGGAAATCTTAAGCATTAAGCTGATATTAACAGATTGAATTATTATTTAACTCATTTGGTGGCAGAATTAGGCCACAAGAGGAATAATGATAGAAAGAATTTTAAGATATGATATACAGCCTTTAAATTTCCATTAAAGGATTATTAGAGAAAATTTCCAAATCAAAAACCCTTATTATTATCAAATTTCCTCTGGAAATTTTATGACATAACATTTTGATTTTAATTCTTTTTAGGATGTTTTTAATTTGGATACAGGTTTAAAATATCACATTTGATTAGAAAAATTGATTATTAAGATTTAAAATTATTTTATTAATTAGAAGCTAGCGTGAACCAGTAATCAATCTCTGTTTCTATTCTGTCCAAACTTAACTAGGAAAAATAATATTTCCTGAACTTATAAAACACATGCCTAGGCTTCCTGAGCACTTATAAATACTAACTGTAAAATCTGCATATATTTAAATAAAATCTTACTGTCTCCTATCAGTGGAGACACCTTTATACATCCTCCACTTAAAAATGTATTTCTCTATACTAATACATATTAATAATTATTTCAATTATTTAATTGTGCATTTACATAGCAGCTGGGTTCTGATCAGATTCAGAGATGTTCATTTCCAAAATTCCCTACCCATCCACTTAATTCTTTATTTCCATTTCATATTTTTGAATTAATGAGCGTTCTGCTTAGTGGTTAAACTAGGCAGTAGAAGAAGGAGCGCTGAGAAAGTGCCATCAACATGAAAATATTTTACACTATAACTAAAACGTGTTTTCAAAATTAAATTTGCCTAATTAAGCCTGCAAAAAACAAGTTTTTACCAATTGATGATTATTTAAAACTCCACCTTTCTACTATTTCTGTTCTTTGACAACACAAATTTCTGAACATATAAAGGTTATCTTTCTTAAATTTAAAAATCTGCATTTCTTAGAACTGAACTGAAGTGATTTAGAGGTGAGTAAATGAGGGGAGATATCATGGAGCTGGAACTTTCATAAGTGTTGTATACAAATAATACAGAAACAATTTTGACTAGAGTGATTTCACCAATTTTTAAAAATTTTTTATTCAGAGATAATAAAACAACTTGCAATATTTGTTTGTGTCTTAACCTGCTTGGGCTGCAATAACAAAATATCATGGACCGGGTAGCTTAAACAACAGAAATATATTATCTCACAGTCTGCAACTGGGAGGTCTAAGATCACAGTGGAGATCTAGTGGGGGCTCTCTCCCTGGCTTACAGGTGGCTGCTTTCTCACTGTGTCCTCACATAGACTTTTCTGGGTGCATCTTTTTCTCTTTTTACAAAACCATGAATTCTAATTAATTGATTAAAAAACTCTACTCTTATAAACTAATTTAACTGTAATTACCTACTAACTGTCTCACTGGGGGTTAGGGCTTCGACCCATGAATTTTGGGAGAACACAGTTCAGTCCATAGCATTTTCCCACTCTCTGGATTCTAGCATTGATTTTCAACCCAATCTAATATCAATCTTTCCTTGTGGTGGTCTAGCATAACATTGTATAGTTAGTGTTATTAGATTTCCAAATGTGAAGTCAGAAAGACTTGGTTGTGTATCCCAGCTCTAGTATTTAATAGCTGTGGGACTGTAAGTACATTAAATTTTGTAAGGATCAGTTTTCTCACCTCTAAATTGGGAATAATAATGTATAGGTGTAGATTAAATTAGTTATTACAGGTAACACATTCAATGCAGTGCTCACTACTTTCTAAGCACTTGTATGCTTTTATTAATTTGCTGCATTGCTCCATTGTCTAAGTATAAGTAAATTATACACAGGCATTCATTCACTCTACAAAACTTTATTGATCATCCACTCTGGTAATTCATTTTTTGTTGTCTTTTTTAAGAATGCAGCTGTGAGCAAGAGAAAGAAGTTTTCTATTGTCATGGGGTTTTTTGTGTGGAAAGAAACATAGTAAACATATAAGACCTTTACCCAATAAAGGCAGCTAGGTAGAAAATTCTATATAATGATGGAATAATGTGACAACTTTAGGTTGTTAAAGGATTCCTCTCTAAAAGATAAGTACTAAGAATTTACAAAAAAAAGAATAAACCAATTTTGCAAAGAGTAATATGCTCCATTCAAAGTAGATGGAGAATAAACTTGGTAAATTTAAGTACTATAAAACAAAAATCAGTGTGGCTAGAACAGATTAGGAAGAGCAAAGTGGATAAACTAGAAGAAAGATTCTAGGCATGAGCAAGTAGGACTTCAGGAGCTGGTGTAAGGGTGGCAACTTCTGTGAGGGATGCTAAAGCTTTTAAATGTTTCAAGAAAAGGAGTGATGTTTTGGGATGTATGTTTTAAAGGAACCACTCTGACTCCTGTGATAAATGGATTACAGAGAAAGAAAGGAAGCAGAAAGCTGCTGAGAGGATACTGCAATGTCCCAAAATATTGATGCTTATCAAAGGGCAGCCTCTTCTCATCTACTCCAGCCAGGGCTCATCAGTGCTATGAGAATTTTGGGGGAAAACAAATATGTCTTTTGAAGATTATTGTGCATAGAATCTTGCACAAAGCAGGTTATTTAAATCACTTTCTGCTACTCTGATGAAAAATAAACAGGTTCTCAATCACAGTATATTCTGCATACAGTTTGCGTTCAAATGTACCTATTGACAGACTGTGTGACAAGTAGTCTCTTTTTGATGTTGTTGACAATTAGAAGACCTGTTCTTTTTTCTCCTTAACTTTTCCTCCTCCTCCTTCTTTCTTCATATGATCATAGAAAAAATAATAAAATGACCAAAATATATATACCTCAAAATCAAGACGTCCTAGTTTCCATCTAGTTGCAAAATGAGGCAAATTTATATGATAAGACAGTATTATTGAGCTATATACAGCATAGCCAGATGGTCAGATTGAGGTTATGTATATGAATAATTTAAAACTTTAGGTATATATGCTGTGGCTGGCATCTACTACAATGTGAAGAAGCTAATTACATTAGCTTTCTTGGGCTGCCATAACAAAAATACCACAGACTGGAAGCCTTAAACAACAGAAATTAATTTTCTCACAGTTCTGGAGGCTTGAAGTCAAAGAGCAAGGTCCAGTAGGGTCAGTTTCTGGTGAGGGCTGACATCTGGGCTTGTAGACAGCCACCATCTATTTGTGTTATCACGTGACCTTTTTGCTGTGTATATGTGCAGGAGCATGCTCTGGTGTCTCTTTTTCTTTTTATAAGGACACAAATTTTATTGGCACAGGTTTAGGGTCCCACAGTTATGACCTCATTTAACCCTTATCACCTCCTTGCAGTCTCTATGTCCACATAGTCCCTTTCACATTTGAGGTTAAGGTGACAACATGTGAGTTCTGGGGAACAAAATTCTGTTCATATTAGTCTCCCCTGGCTCCCCAAAATTCATGCTTTTAGCCCATGCCAAATACATTCATTCAATCCTAACAACTCCAAAAGCCTTAATTCATTCCAGCATCTACTCTAAAGTCAAAAGTTCAGTCTCATCTAAATCATCGTATTTCCTCTCCAGCTGTGAACCTGTGAAACTAAACAAGTTATATACCTTAAAATATGAAGGTAAGACAGACATAAAATAGACATTCCATTTCATAAAAGAGAAATGAAAAGAAGAAAACAGTGATAGGTCTCAAGAAAGTCCAAAACCTAGAAAGAAAAAATTCAGTAAATCTTAAAGCTCAAAAACAGTTCTCTTTCATTTGATGCTCTGCCCTCCAGTCCCACCATGGTGGTAGTATCACACCCATGATACTGCAAGATGCTGCTTCACGGCCTTCTTTGGGGCCCTATCATGTGAAACTAAGGAGAAAGTAGTCTTGTCCCCTGGACCGGTGGAAGGAGTGACAGCCTTGATGATCTCTGAATCACCTTTGAAATTATTCTTCCATTTTTATGAAGGGCAAAGCACGTTTGCATATGGATAGCTCTAGTCATAATTTCTCATTTTGTAAAATTCTTGGAGTCCAATGTCTTCTTTCATTCCCTCTTTTTTATTCTATTTCATTTAGTCCCAGCAGGCGGTGTTTCTGATGGCATAATCTCATCTCTATTCCTGGCTTCTGCTGAGGTGGCTTGTCATATTTGCAATGTATACCCAAACTAATTTCCTTTACCAAATGGTTGTTCAGCCCATACCCTTAGTTTCTCTTCAGAACAAAGCTTATTAATATTTTGCAATATAGATGGTTGACAGTTTCCCAAGTTTTCAAATTCTGGTTCCTTTTTGCTTAACAAGTCCTTCTTCATTTCATGTCTTTTCTCATCACGATCCATCTTTTCCTCTTACATTTTAATATAAGCAGTCAAGAGGAATCAAGCTACTCCTTCAATACTTTGCTTTAGAAGTGTCCTCAGTTAAATATCCAATTTATTTACTCATAAATTTTACTTTCCACAAGACATTAAACACAATTTAGCCTGGCTGTCTGACATTTTGTGACAGTATTGCCTTTCCTCCAGTTTTCAACAAGCTGCTTTTCATTTCCATCTGAAACCTCACTAGAAAGGTCTTTAACATTGCTATTTCTACCAACATTCTGTTCATAATTATTTGTGTATTCTCTAAGAAAATAGTGACTTTATTTCTAGATCGTCTCTTTTCTTTTGAGTCCTCACTGGAATCAATCTTAATGTCTACATTTCTAGCATGTAGCACAAAACTCTTTCAGCCTTTTTTCATTACCCAGTTCCACAGCCACTTCCACGTTTTAAAGTATTTATTCTTAATTCTTAATGGCATATTATAAAATATAAGAATTACTAGCTTCAGGTATACGATTTTAATTTTCACTTTACTTTTTCAAGAGACATGTATTCAATTTGCTGTATACCTCACTTAGTAGAGTACACACAACATGATAAAAAATAATGTTGAGTCTAATCCTATGATAGGAGAATGTTAGAAAAACATGCTTTCTTAGATATGAACCTCTCATCTTTGTAAATTACCTGTTCTTGGGACCTTAATAGTGCCAAATTATAGTCAGTCTTTTTGTATCCTTGAAGGAGTAATTTACTTCAAGTGAACAAAAATTTGCTTTCAAAATAGAACTCCACTTTTATGACTGTAACTTAGCCTGATATTAGCTAGTGAAAGAGCAGTATCAATGATATTCTCTTTGGGGAAATCCTGAGTGTTTGTTTAATAGATAATGACAATATATATTTTTAATAAGTTAAAGAGTATTTTTAAAAGCCCTCAAGAGAATATGAAGAAATGGAATTTGATAATTGTTGTGTGTGTTTCTTTACATGGACATTATTCCATAACAGAACAGAATAAACCATTTAGAAAAAAACTCCGAGTGGACTTTTTTTTACTATTGGTCACTTAATTTATTCACTAATTTTTCAAACATTGTTAGATACCTGTCATTGGACAGAATCAGAGATCAATACCGAATACTGGGAGGAAGGGACAGAGGAACATCACTGGAAAAGCTGAGAGAGGCTTCACATGGGCAGTCAGTGGGCAAAATCTTATCTACAGATGTGCCTGTTTGGTCTGTTTAGTTCATCACAATTTCCACCACTTTTATTGTTTTTTGCCCCTGTCTGGACCATGCACCACTGTGTTTACAGTCTCTAATCATGTTTGTTCAGCCTTGGGGCTGAGCTGCAGGAAAAATGGGAAGAGTTAAATAAACTGTCATGAAATATCTACCAGTCAAATAGTAATATGAAAGAATATGATAAACTTGGATTTGAATAAAAGATGTCTTTTTATCCAATGACTTATCTCCTGAGTAAAACTGAGAGAGAAGGTATGGGTTTTTGAATTGGTATATTTGAAATGATGAAAATGAACTAAATCAACTAAGTGATGGTGTATGTGGTTTTGTTTTGTCTTTTTAATCCACAATTTTTATTTAAATAATATTTAAAACAATGTGTAATGTGGATGAAAGTTAAGTTACTGTGATTGAGGTGTTCGTGGCAACATGTAGCATTCCAGACTCTATGTGTAGACTGTGGATGGCACAGGAAGAGAAAGGGGTAAAGCACAAAGTTCTAATCCTACATTACAGTGCCAAAGAAATACAGAAAACGGCAACAAGATTAGGTGAGAGGCTGTGGGATAAAGAAAGCAAGAAGAGGGATTTGTACTTAGAAAAGACAGATATTCATATGTCTATGTAGGAAGGGAAGGATGGATTGTTTGGGGGTTGGAGGAAATTCACACTGGATAGCCTTTGTTTTCTCTGTGATATGGAGAACAAGATGTTTTTTAGACTGAAGTAGGTACAGATGGGTAAACAATCTGAATAGAACTATGAAAGAACACATGAAAAGAGGCCAAAAGCAAATGATCCAGGACAAGCAAAAACAAATTGCTGTGCTGTCCTGAGGGACTAGCTATTGTTACAAACTATACAATTCTTACGTGTCACCTTGAACTGTTAGCATCCCTAATATAGTCTTAGCATATATTCTGCTGATCATATGTTTTATCATTGGTGAAGCAGTAATTATTATTATGGCTTTGAAATAAGAAAGCCTTTGCCCTAGGGTATTTCATGTATCTTGGGGTGATGTATTAATGCAGAAGATATAATTTCACTCAGATCAAATCATAATATATTTTTAAATGTTCTAAGATCAATTTTAGATCATTTTAATCAGCAGTTAATCTTTGGAATTTAGAACTAAAATAGGATAAATTCAAATTATAGTCATATACTGGCTTATCCTTGTGATGGTTTCTGAACTATTTCCTTTGACAGTTGAGATAGATCCACCTTAAAAAATGCTATATAAATATTTGGATTTAAATGAAGAGAGAGTACTTTATCTGGTATGAGTTTTATGGCCAATAGCTTCTTGGTCTTTAGCTGATACACAATCCAAGAGTTTTGCTTTTTTAGAGATGATAAGTTTCAAAAAATAGTGAATGTAATATATCTTTCTATCCATAACGGTGACCATTCTAGGATCATTACTTAAAATCCTGCGAATATCTATTTTTATACTGGTTAATAAATTTTAATTATACACGGCAAGGTTAAAATCATTATACATATTGCAACTCTTCTTCACAGTTATGAAACTGAGCTTAACTTCATATGCACGATGCTACTGCAGATCTATTATTAGATCTATTATTTGTAGAATATGTACTTTGAATTACTTTTCCCAGATCCATGTATGCATGCTCTGAGCTGCTTCATTCTCTTTCCTGCTTCTAATATGAGTCTAAAGGACATATTGGCAAAAGACCTACATTATGAGTAGCATTATGATAAGGAGAATTTTTTTTAATTCAAAGCTAACTGGCCCTTGTGTAGATCTATGGCCTTGGCTACATGAGAACAGTCTCTAGCCAGCTTAGCATACTGCTTCAGGCTACAATTATTTATGTCTTTCTTGCAGAAAATTCCTCAATTTCCATTTTAAATGTTCTAAATTTCATAAGGTTATTTTAATAGGTTTTCCGCCTTATTCCTCGCACAGACTTTCAACCAGGATAGCTAAAATTATTTAACCTCCACTTTTAGCCTCATGTCCAAGCAGCCAGATTCTGGGACAAATCAAGAAAACAATTCTTGCTTATCAGTCAGTCACCCACTAGGTTAGCCGTGTCTACAAATCATACTTCAGTTTTCTGCCAGGCACCAGTCTCATAGAGAAGACTAATTACCCTGAACTTCAATCGTATCAGAGGCTAATACAGGCCTGGCCATATGCCCAATCCCATAATTACTAGAATAACCAAAGAAAGTAAAATGGGAAATTAAATAACTAAAAGTAAAATTTTGTCAAGATTTTAAGGCAGAGGTCTGAAGCTATGGGATGATGGGTTATTAATCAAGAAAGATGAGTGTAAGTGAAATAAGAAAGACAAAAGAATGCAAAGGATCCTAAGGAACTGTTACGAATAATTACACACAAATAAATTAGATAGCCTACAAGGAATGTATAAATTCCTTGATGTATACACCCTTCAAAGGCTGAAGTATGAAGAAATGTAAAATTTTAACAAACCAAAAATGATTAAGGAGATTGCATCAATAATAAAAAGTCTCTCTTCAAAGAAAAGCCCATGATCTGATGTCTTCAATGTTGAGTTCCATCACACATTTAAAGAACAGCGATTGTCAACTCTTTTCAAAATCTTCCAAAAATTTGAAGAGGAAGGAATACTTCTAAACTTATTTTACCAGGCCAGCCATCACCCTGATACCAAAGCCAGATGATGACACTACAAAAAATAAATAAATGAAAGAAAACTACGGGTCAGGTCAATAACCTTTATTAACATAAATAACATATATGCAAAAATTCTCAACAAAATATTAGCAAATTGAGTTCAGTAGTACATTAAAAATATCATTCAACGTGATCAAGCGAGATTCATCCAAAGAATGCAAAGATGTTTCAACATACATAAATGAATAAATCACATGAACGTAATTAAAGACAAAATCCATATGGTCATTTCAATATATGTAGAAAGAATATTGGACAATTTTTAACATTTTCATAATAAAAACTTTCAGCAAATAAGGTAAAGATGGACTGTACTACAACACAATAAAAACAATATATGATAAACCCGCAGCTAACATCATACTCAATGGAAAAATGCTGGAAACTTTTTGTCTAAGATTCACAATAAGACAAGAATGCCCATTCTAATCACTTCTATTCAATATCATACTGGAGGTCCTATTCAGAGTAATTTGAATGAAGAGAGAAATACAAAAGTATCCAAATTAGAAATAAAGAAGTTAAATTGTCTCTGTTTGCAGATGACATAATTTTATAATATAGAAAACCCTGAAGACTTCACCAGAAAACTGCTAGAACTAATACAGAATTCCAATAAAGTTGAAGAATACAAAATTGGCATGCAAAAATCAGCAGTATTTCTATACACAAGAGCAAACTACCTGAAAAGGAATTTTTTTTAAAAATTTCATTTATAACGCTACAAAAAACAAAATACTTAGAAAAAAGTTTAATGAAGGAGGTGAAATATCTGTACACTGAAAACCATAAAACACTGATGACATAATTTGAAGACACAAATCAACGAAAAGATAACCCATGATTATGGACTGGAAGAATTAACATTGTTAAAATGCCCATGCTATTCAAAGCAATCTACAGAGTCACTGCATTTCCTATGAAAATACCAATGACATTCTTCACAAAAATAGAAAAAAAATTCTAAAATTCATATGAAATCAGAAAAAAAGACCAAATAGTCAAAGCAATCACAATTTTAAAAAGCTGATAGCCACATGATGCCTAACTTCAAAATATACCACAAAGCTATAGGAAGCAATACAATATTGTACTGGCATAGACACATAAACCACAAACACATAAACATAAACAGACATATAAACTAATGGAAGAGAACACAGAATTCAGGGATATGTCCACACGTTTACAGCTGACTGATTTTCAACAAAGATTCTAAAAACTTGCAATGGAGAAATAATAATCTCTTCATTTATTGGTGGTTAGAAAATTGAATATATACATACAGAAGAATTAAATTATACCTTATGCTCACACACTATATAAACATCACCTTAAAATGGATGAAATAGGTGAAATATTTAAATGTGAGACCAAAACATGAAAATACTACAAGCAAACATAGAAGAAAAACTCCATGGCATTGCTCTGGGCAATGACTCTTATAATATGACCCCAAAAGCACAAGCAACAAAAGCAAACATAGACAAATAAGATTATATCAAACTAAAAAGCTTCTTTACAGAAAGGAGATAGTCAACAGAATGAAGAGACAACATACAGAACTGGAGAAAATATATACAAGCTATACATCTGATAAGGTGTTAATATACAAATTATATAAGAAACTCAAAACACTCAGTTGCAAGAAAAAAACCCGAATTTTAAAATAGACTAAATACATTAACAGACATCTCTCAAAAGAAGACACGCAAATGATCAAGAGGCATAAGAAAAAATGCTTAACATCACTAATCATTAGGGAAATGCAAATTAAAACCATAATGAGATATCACTTCACTCCTGTAAGAATGGCTATTATGAAAAGACAAAAGATAAGTGTTAGTAAGGATGTGGAGGGAAAAAAAACACTCTTATACTGTTGGTGGAAATATAAATTAGTACAAACATTATGAAAAACACTATAGAGGTTTCTCAAAAAATTATAAAGAGAACTACCACATGATCCAACAATTCCATTAGTAGGAATATTCAAAGAAAATGAAATCAATATGTCAACAGGTATTTTCACTTTCATGTTTATTGCATCATTATTTACAAGAGTCAAGATATGAAATCAATCTAAGTGTTCATCAGTGGATGAATGGCTTTAAGAATGTGGTATATATACACAATAAACTATTCAATAATAAAAAAGAAAATATTGTCGTTTGCAATATGGAGCCATTATGTTAAGTGAAATAAGCCAGGGACAGAAAGCCATCTGCTGCATGCTCTCACTCATATGAAGAATCTAAGAATGTTGATTTCATGGAAAGTTAGAAGTAGAATGGTTTTCACCAAGGTCTGGAGTAGTTGGGGAGGTGTTTGTCAAAAGATACAAAATTTCAGTTAAATAGGAGAAATATGTTCAAGAGATCCATTGTACACATGTTGACTATATCTGATAGTATATTGTATTTCTGAAAAAAATGCTAAGAGAATGGATGTAAAGTATTCTCACTATGAAAATATGTGAGGTAAGGTATATGTAAATTTGCTAGATTTAGTCATTCCTTAATGTATATATGCTTTAAAACAATATGCTGTACATGATAAGTACATGCAGTTTTAAGTTCCAATTAAAAAAAAAAGAATGATGGGAAAAAGAGATCATAGAATATAGAAGATAATAGCAGCTCAGAAAGAAGTTTCTCAAGGAATTTATGATGAAGCTGCCCTCAATGAATGAATAATAATTCAGCACTTAAAATTACCACGTTTAGTTTTCTCTTGATTATCCTTATGTTTTCTAAAAGATGCGCATTAATAAATTTAGAATGAGGATTTTTTTGGCAGAATTTTACCTTGATACTTAATCCACAAATATAATGTGTTACATTTTCACTCTTTTAATTAATTAAACTAATCATATCACTATAAATATATATTTCAAAACTTGCAAACAAATAATGGGAAGCTTACACGTTCTTTTCAGCAGTATGTCCTATAGGTTGTGAGAAAAATATTTTCACTGTTTTATTCTTTTATTTAGTATCTATTATGAGCCTAGTACTAGGTACAAGTGTGTAGTATTAAATGACACTCAGTGACTACCCTCATGGAAATTATAGTCTGAACAGTTAATATGCACTCCCACCTCACATTAAGGATGAAAAAACAAACAAAATTTAACAAAAGAAAGAATTGAAGTTTTCAAGTTGTAACGGGTTTCATAAAAGCAGTAAATTTTGAGGGGAGAGAGTAGATTAAGAGACAAGAATCAGAAAACTTTCTGAAGACAATTTGCAGGAATTTTCTAGATGAAGACTTTGGGGCAGAGTGGAAAGTGTATTCATGGCAGAGGAAACAAAGCATTGATACAATTACCCGAAATGGAAAAGAACTTGGTGCATTAAAAGAAGTAAAAAAAAATTCAGGATGGTTGTAATATAGAAGATAAAGGAGCTAGTGACATGAAAAAAGGGAGCAAGGTCAGAACCTTCTAGGTTATGCTAGTAGATTTGGGAAGAATTCAAAGAGCAAAAATTAGAAGAATGACATAATGTAATCTACTTTCTATATAACCAGCAAAAGAGTTGGGTAATTCATCAGTTGGAATCTATGCATGTTGGAAATAACATCTTGATTTTAAAAAAATCCCAGAAATCAACCAATAGTATAATATCTTATTAAAAATTGTTGAATACTAAAAAAAATCCAAAATTTAAAAACACCACAATAATATATTTTTAGATACATACAAATGTAGAAAATTATTTCAAGTATCTAAGTAAAGTTTCACTCAGTATTCAGGGTAATGATAACCTCTTAGAGAAGTGAGGGAAGGCAAGATGTGGGATGAGGTGGAGCCCACCCGTAGATGCATCATTTTGGTAACATTCTACTGCTTAATTTTGGTGTCAGCTCACAGTATTTATTGCATTATTTTGCTTTCTAAGTTTCTAAACTAGGATGGTCTATTTTAATATGGCATGCACTATGTTATAATAGAATGGATTGGTGTGTGTGGGCTGTGGGGAAGAATAAAGTAGAGGCTAAGAAACCGGTTAGGAGGACGATAAACTTCTTAAATTGACGGAGTTAGGTGAAGAAGACAAATGTGTAAAAGTTGGCTCCTAGGATTCTGGTTCCATCAGTAGGAGGAAAGGTGTGGCCTGTTTCTGAGATGGAAAAGATTAAAAGAGGGCTGGTGAAGACAGAGTGTTCAGTTATAAATATTTTGATTTTGAAATTCCAGAGAGTAATCTCACAAGTAGCATTGGGGCTTAGAAATCTGTCATCCAGAAAGAGGTCTGGCATGAAGATACCCAATGTGAATCCATTCATGTATAGAATGTATTTGAAGCCATAGGAATGGATGCGGGAGGAAGAGGGGAAGAGGAAGGAGGAAAAAAAGATGAAGAAAAACAGTCCAGTTTTAGAAATATTTTGAGGAGCTGAATTTTGTGAAAGAGACTAAAGGATGATCTTAAATGTAAGAAAGAATTATCTAAGAGGGTATAGTGTCATGCATTCCAAGAAAAAATATTATCTTATAGAATGTTCTTGATAAATCTAATTATGTGACAGAGTTACTATGCAGTTTTGCAACACTGAAATAATTAAAGACTTCAATTGAGGTACCTTTGTTGGTGCAAAGGGAATGGATTCCAAATTGGAGCGAGTTAAAGAATAAGTGGGAAATAGGGATATGGAGGGTAAACTTTGAAAGAGTCTAGAGAGATAAGATGGTAACTGAAATCATTTTATTTTCATTTTAGTTTGCTGTAGTTCTCACTTTCTTAAGATCAAAGATTGTAAATATGTAATACTGATAGAAATCCCAAACCTAAGAAAAAATAGACTGAGGATGCCAATGAGAGGTAAGTAATGGTTGGTTAGAGTGGAAGAACAAGCTAAACATAGATCCTCTTCTAACATTGCTGCATGACCTGAAGTAATTTTAGAGCTGTGTGATAACTTCTACTTATCTGGCTTTAACTTTTCTCCAGGAATCTTAAATAATAAATAATCACTCATCACGCTACAGTATGCACTTCTTCCTCCTCTATTAATTTATGTTGATATTATTATCATGATCACCCAATTCACCCAAGTTCCAAATCCTAGAAATATTGACATCTTCATTTATTGACAATTAGTTGCCAAGTATAAATTGTATCTCACTGAAGTGTATGTCTCTTACCCATCTTTTTACTTATGCAGCTACCAATCTAAAACAGACCATTATAACTTCTTATCTAGACTAAAATTTCATTTTTAATCCAAATTAGATGCTGTATCTACATTATTCACTCTAAAATGCAGGCTGAATAAGTTCGTTCCTTAAAAGTCTTCAAAGACTCTCCTGGTCTTCTACACAACTTATAACTTTTGTATCACACATACCTGGATTTTAGTGATATGATTTAACTTTTTTCTGGTCTCGTCTCACACTTTTTCACTATGTATGCTTCCTAATTCTTCTAAATGAATGTATCTCTTTTACCTATTATAGTCTAAATTTTTATTAAGCCATTGATCATTAAGCTGTGACTCTTAAAACTGTAATACTCCTACCTTTTAAGTGAATTTTATTTACATATACTTTAAGCCAGTCCCAAATATTATCTTCATTATCGTGTATTTTCTCATCTGCCCAGACTGCTAAGACCTCTTTTTCCTTCTTTGCCTCACTTTCCAGTTTTCTATAGTCTTTATTTGTGCCTTATTTATGTTATTGTCATATTCTGCTTCACAGAAACAGATGACATGTATTCAAATGTATGCTTTATATTTTTAAACTGTTTCATCATGAGCAAATAACTTAGGACTTTGAGCTTAAGTTTCTTTATTTGAAAAAAAAACACAGGAATGGTATTACATTACTTTGAAAATGAAAAAATACATGAAAACAATAAAATATTAGATCCCAACCCTCTTTTATCATTCATTTTTACCACTCTATTATCTAAAATCATGTTTTTCATAAAATATACATTCTATTAATGCTTGTCAAAGTAACTTGAATGTGTCAAAACTTGTCTTGAATAATTGTCTTTAATCTCTAAAACTGCTAATGAAGAATTAACATATATAGCATTAATCATGAGCTCCTTGGAAATTATATGTAGGGATTTTTCCATTCACAATAACCAACTAAATTGTAGATGATAAAGTGATGGGTTTGTGTTTGCGTTTCGTAGTTGTTGTTGTTGTTTTTCTTTTTTTTGAGATAGAAAATTGAGGCCAAGTTGTAGTGTCACCAAGAGACTATAGAAAGTGAAATGGAAGAAGGAAGGGGAGGGGATATGAAACCAATTTTGCTTTAAAACTTTTGTTTGGGCTGATTCTGAAAAGAAAAAAAATCATGGAAAAAATACAATGCTCAAGATCTAGAATTACAAAACGAACGCAAGGTCTTATTAGGTCCCATTTTTTCTTTTTGAGAGCCACAATTGAGAGATCAGCCTTCTAAGCAATAAAATATGTATATATTGAAAACAGAAACCACACACAAGATGTGATAATCAACTCCTATTTCTTAATTTTCACAAACATTTGAAATACATTAAAATATTTCCTAACTAGCAATTACAAAGTAAAAAGCCTTTTTAAAATAAATCACATAGGCATTTTCATGTCAGTAGAAGCCTCTTGATGGCAACAAAGCTTTGTAATTCACAGGTGCCCGTTTTTATCCCACATTTTAGCATGGTTATCAGAAATATTTCTAATTTTCTGTTAAGTACAAAAACTATTATATAATCAGTTTGTTACCTGAAGGGTGGATTATGGCTTTGCATTTTTGTGAAGTTTTAAGCTCATGCTTCAAATGAAATATACATGCTTGATGTAAGTAATACTCAGTTGCATTTGTTGTTTACCATTTCAGAAAACTGCAAAAACCACAGTGTTTTAAATCTGCCATGGAAAGTGAAGGCACCTTGCCAGAGATTCAAGATGCTGTAAATGTAGGAGCAGCAAGAATGATATGTCTAAAAATCCTGGACAGATTCCTGAGTATCTCATGACTGATAGGGTCAGTAGGTGGCTTTGAAACTCTACAAGCTACTGCAGGAAGTGTTCAATTTAGATGCAGGGAGCTTCAAAGCTTTGGAAATCAGATATTGGAATGTCGGATGAATTTTTTCCCCATAATATAATATTACAAGTAGTAGTAAATTTCGTACGCTCTCCACTCCAGAGCTCAATGAAACCTTATTTATGTATGTGTGTGTGTGTACATACACACACATAGATGATAGATAGATAGATAGATAGATGATAAATAGATAGATAGATAGATAGATAGATAGATAGATAGATAGATGATAGATAAATTTAGAGAGAACAGTGTCTAGCCTAGGATCAGCAGCTGTGCCTTATTCAAAATTCCTGCCAGGGATCCGCTGTTTTTGGTGAGTAAAGCATATAAAGAAGCCTGGTACTTTAAGTGAAAATATATTAAATATATATTTAATTTTTAATTATTATATTAAATAATTAATTAAATAATTAATTAATTATTAAATAAATAAATAAATAATTATATTATCTATTAAATAAAAATATATTTAATATATACTACATAGACATATATAAAGCATATAAAAGCCCACTAAGTTTGGCATTTTAAAAAATCACAGAATTCTTTGTATGATCAAGTATTTATACCCAATGACATAATTAACCTGTATAGGCATACTTGAAATGATACATCAGCTTAAGGAAGAGCAAACAGAGAAAATACTAACTTCTCTTTAAGAAGATCTTCATTAACAATAAAGAAGACAATAATAATGTCTGTCCATGAGCCTGATTGCTGGATCTCTTTAGCATTCAATAGTTTCCACTAGCCTTTCCTCTTGATGGAGTGGGATGGATATCTCTGTGAATTTCTGCATTTTCCAAACTTCACCCACATCGTGATCATCTTAATCTTTACTTCCTAATTTCACATCTTATTTACTAAATCTTCCCTTATTCCCAGATGCTTTCTCAGGATTCAGAGATTGATGCTATTCTTTTCTTTCATCATCTGCATTATCTTGGGGGGATCTTGTTAATTTTAAGTAGTTTCACATTGCTGTGTAGATGAATATATATGTATGCTTCTAGATGATCACATTTGAGGCCAAGCAGTTATGAAAGCTCAGACTCATAAAGTTGTAATTTTACACACTGGCATTTCACATGCCCAGTTTCATACTCTCTGCTCCAGGTAGGCATATAGTTTTACTCTTTACTATTTGAACAAAATTATTTAGCCTCCTTTGCATTCCTTGTTGTCATAATCTCCATAAGGGCAGGAATTTTGTACTCTCTGCCTTTGAGTCTCCAGTGTCTCACACAGTATCTGATATTAGTGATTATTTAAAGAAGAAATATACATAAGAAAATATTTTAAAAATATATTCATCCTATAAATTAGAGATAGAACCCAAGGCTTTCAAATTGTGTGTGTGTGTGTGTATATATATATATATTTTTATTACACTTTAAGTTCTAGGGTACATGTGCACAACGTGCAAGTTTGTTACATATGTATACATGTGCCATATTGGTGTGCTGCACCCATTAACTCATCATTTACATTAGGTATATCTCCTAATGCTATCCCTCCCCCCTCCCCCCACCCCACAACAGGCCCTGGTGTGTGATGTTCCCCTTACTGTGTCCAAGTGTTCTCATTGTTCAATTCCCACCTATGAGTGAGAACATGCGGTGTTTGGTTTTTTTGTCCTTGCGAACGTTTGCTGAGAATGATGGTTTCCAGCTTCATCCATGTCCCTACAAAGGACATGAACTCATCCTTTTTTATGGCTGCATAGTATTCCATGGTGTATATGTGCCACATTTTCTTAATACAGTCTATCATTGATGGACATTTGGGTTGGTTTCAAGTCTTTGGTATTGTGAGTAGTGCCGCAATAAATATATGTGTGCATGTGTCTTTATAGCAGCATGATTTATAATCCTTTGGGTATATACCCAGTAATGGGATGGCTGGGTCAAACAGTATTTCTAGTTCTATATCCCTGAGGAAATCGCCACACTGTCTTCCACAATGGTTGAACTAGTTTACAGTCCCACCAACAGTGTAAAAGTGTTCCTATTTCTCCACATCCTCTCCAGCACCTGTTGTTTCCTGACTTTTTAATGATTGCCATTCTAACGGGTGTGAGATGATATCTCATTGTGGTTTTGATTTGCATTTCTCTGGCGGCCAGTGATGATGACCATTTTTTCACCTGTCTGTTGGCTGCATAAATGTCTTCTTTTGAGAAGTGTCTGTTCATATCCTTCATCCACTTTTTGACGGGGTTGTTTGTTTTTTTCTTGTAAACTTGTTTGAGTTCTTTGTAGATTCTGGATATTAGCCCTTTGTCAATGAGTAGATTGCAAAAATTTTCTCCCATTCTGTAGGTTGCCTATTCACTCTGATGGTAGTTTCTTTTGCTGTGCAGAAGCTCTTTAGTTTAATTAGATCCCATTTGTCAATTTTGGCTTGTGTTGCCATTGCTTTTGGTGTTTTAGACATGAAGTCATTGCCCATGCCTATGTCCTGAATGGTAATGCCTAGGTTTTATTCTAGGATTTTTATGGTTTTAGGTCTAATGTTTAAGTCTTTAATCCATCTTGAATTAACTTTTGTATAAGGTGTAAGGAAGGGATCCAGATTCAGCTTTCTACATATGGCTAGCCAGTTTTCCCAGCACCATTTATTAAATAGGGAATCCTTTCCCCATTTCTTGTTTTTGTCAGGTTTGTCAAAGATCAGATAGTTGTAGATATATGGCATTATTTCTGAGGGCTCTGTTCTGTTCTATTGGTCTATATCTCTATTTTGGTACCAGTACCATGCTGTTTTGGTTACTGTAGTCTTGTAGTATAGCTTGAAGTCAGGTAGCGTGATGCCTCCAGCTTTGTTCTTTTGGCTTAGGATTGACTTGGCAATGCAGGCTTTTTTGGTTCCATATGAACTTTAAAGTAGTTTTTTTCCAATTCTGTGAAGAAAGTCATTGGTAGCTTGATGGGGGTGGCATTGAATCTATAAATTACCTTGGGCAGTATGGCCATTTTCACAATACTGATTCTTCCTATCCATGAGCATGGAATGTTCTTCCATTTGTTTGTGTCCTCTTTTATTTCATTGAGCAGTGGTTTGTAGCTCTCCTTGAAGAGGTCCTTCACATCCCTTGTAATTTGGATTCTGAGGTATTTTATTCTCTTTGAAGCAATTGTGAATGGGAGTTCACTCATGATTTGGCTCTCTGTTTGTCTGTTATTGGTGTACAAGAATGCTTGTGATTTTTGCAAATTGATTTTGTGTCCTGAGACATTGCTGAAGTTGCTTATCAGTTTAAGGAGATTTTAGGTTGAGACGATGGGTTTTCTAGATATACAATCATGTTATCTACAAACAGGGACAATTTGACTTCCTCTTTTCCTAATTGAATACCCTTTATTTCTTTCTCCTGCCTGATTGCCCTGGCCAGAACTTCCAACACTATGTTGAATAGGAGTGGTGAGAGAGGGCATCCCTGTCTTGTGCCAGTTTTCAAAGAGAATGCTTCCAGTTTTTGCCCATTCAGTATGATATTGGCTGTGGGTTTGTCATAAATAGCTCTTATTATTTTTAGATACATCCCATCAATACCTAGTTTATTGAGAGGTTTTAGCAGGAAGAGTTATTGAATTTTGTCAAAGGCCTTTTCTGCATCTATTGAGATAATCATGTGGTTTTTGTCTTTGGTTCTGTTTATATGCTGGATTATGTTTATTGATTTGCATATGTTGAACCAGCCTTGCATCCCAGGGATGAAGCCCACTTGATCATGCTGGATAAGCTTTTTGATGTGCTGCTGCATTCAGTTTGCCAATATTTTATTGAGGATTTTTGCAAAAATGTTCATCAGGAATATTGGTCTAAAATTCTCTTTTTTTGTTGTGTCTCTGCCAGGCTTTGGTATCAGGATGATGCTGGCCTCATAAAATGAGTGAGGGAGGCTTCCCTCTTTTTCTATTGATTGGAATAGTTTCAGAAGGAATGGTACCAGCTCCTCCTTGTACCTCTGGTAGAATTTGGCTGTGAATCCATCTAGTCCTGGACTTTTTTTGATTAGTAAGCTAGTAATTATTGCCTTAATTTCAGAGCCTGTTATTGGTCTATTCAGAGATTCCACTTTTTCCTGGTTTAGTCTTGGGAGGGTGTGTCTGTTGAGGAATTTATACATTTCTTCTAGATTTTCTAGTTTATTTGCATAGAGGTATTTATAGGATTCTCTGATGGTAGTTTGTATTTCTGTGGGATCGGTGGTGATATCCTCTTTATCATTTTTTATTGTGTCTATTTGTTTCTTCTCTGTTTTCTTCTTTATTAGTCTTGCTAGTGGTCTATTTATTTTGTTGATCTTTTAAAAAAAGCAGAGCCTGGATTCATTGATTTTTTGAAGGGCTTTTTGTGTCTCTATCTCCTTCAGTTCTGCTCTGATCTTAGTTATTTCTTGCCTTTTGCTAGCTTTTGAATGTGTTTGCTCTTGCTTCTCTAGTTCTTTTAATTGTGATATTAGGGTGTCAATTTTAGATCTTTCCTGCTTTCTCTTGTGGGCATTTAGTGCTATAAATTTCCCTCTACACGCTGCTTTAAATGTGTCCAGAGATTCTGGTATGTTGTGTCTTTGTTCTCGTTGGTTTCAAAGAACATCTTTATTTCTGCCTTCATTTCATTATGTACCCAGTAGTCATTCAGGAGCAGGTTGTTCAGTTTCCATGTAGTTGAGCAGTTTTGAGTGAGTTTCTTAATCCTGAGTTCTAGTTTGATTGCACTGTGGTCTGACCGACAGTTTGTTATAATTTCTGTTCTTTTACATTTGCTGAGGAGTGCTTTACTTCCAACTATGTGGTCAATTTTGGAATAGGTGTGGTGTGGTGCTGAGAAGAATGTATATTCTGTTGATTTGGGGTGGAGAGTTCTGTAGATGTCTATTAGGTCCACTCGGTGCAGAGCTGAATTCAATTCCTGGATATCCTTGTTAACTTTCTGTCTCATTGATTTGTCTAATGTTGACAGTGGGGTGTTAAAGTCTCCCATTATTATTGTGTGGGAGTCTAAGTCTCTTTGTAGGTCTTTAAGGACTTGCTTTATGAATCTGGGTGCTCCTTATTGGGTGCATCTATATTTAGGATAGTTAGCTCTTCTTGTTGAATTGATCCCTTTACCATTACGTAATGGCCTTCTTTGTCTCTTTTGATCTTTGTCGGTTTAAAGTCTGTTTTATCAAAGACTAGGATTGCAACCCCTGCTTTTTTTTGTTTTCCATTTGCTTGGTAGATCTTCCTCCATCCCTTTATTTTGAGCCTATCTGTGTCTCTGCACGTGAGATGGATTTCCTGAATACAGCACACAGATGGGTCTTGACTCTTTATCCAATTTGCCAGTCTGTGTCTTTTAATTGGAACATTTAGTCCATTTACATTTAAAGTTAATATTGTTGTGTGTGAATTCGATCCTGTCATTATGATGTTAGCTGGTTCTTTTGCTCATTAGTTGATGCAGTTTCTTCCTAGCCTTGATGGTCTTTACAATTTGGCATTTTTTTGCAGTGGCTGGTACTGGTTGTTCTTTTCCATGTTTAGTGTTTCCTTCAGGAGCTCTTTTAGGGCAGGCCTGGTGGTGACAAAATCTCTCAGCATTTGCTTGTCTGTAAAGTATTTTATTTCTCCTTCAGTTATGAAGCTTAGTTTGGCTGGATATGAAATTCTGGGTTGAAAATTCTTTTCTTTAAGAATGTTGAATATTGGCCTCCACTCTCTTCTGTCTTGTAGAATTTCTGCCGAGAGATCAGTGTTATTCTGATGTGCTTCCCTTTGAGGGTAACCCGACCTTTCTCTCTGGCTGCCCTTAACATTTTTTCCTTCATTTCAATTTTGGTGAATCTGACAATTATGTGTCTTGGAGTTGGTCTTCTTGAGGAGTATCTTTGTGGCGTTCTCTGTATTTCCTGAATTTGAATGTTAGCCTGCCTTGCTAGGCTGGGGAAATTCTCCTGGATAATATCCTGCAGAGTGTTTTCCAACTTGGTTCCATTCTCCCTGTCACTTTCAGGTACATCAATCAGACACAGATTTGGTCTTTTCACATAGTCCCATATTTCTTGGAGGCTTTGTTCATTTCTTTTTACTCTTTTTTCTCTAAACTTCTCTTCTCACTTCATTTCATTCATTTGATCTTCAATCAACGATACCCTTTCTTCTAGTTGATCGAATCGGCTACTGAAGCTTGTGCACTCGTCACATAGTTCTCGTGCCATGGTTTTCAGCTCTATCAGTTCCTTTAAGGACTTCTCTCCATTGGTTATTCTAGTTAGCCATTTGTCTAATCTTTTTTCAAGGTTTTTAACTTCTTTGCTATGGGTTCCAACTTCCTCCTTTAGCTCGGAGAATTTCATTGTCTGAAGCCTTCTTCTCTCAACTCGTCAAAGTCATTCTCCGTCCAGCTTTGTTCCATTGCTGGTGAGGAGCTGCGTTCCTTTGGAGGAGGAGAGGTGCTCTGATTTTTAGTATTTCCAGTTTTTCTGTTCAGTTTTTTCCCCATCTTTGTGGTTTTATCTACCTTTGGTCTTTGATGATGGTGACGTACAGATGGGGTTTTGGTGTGGATGTCCTTTCTGTTTGTTAGTTTTCCTTCTAACAGTCAGGACCTTCAGCTGCACATCTGTTGGAGTTTGCTGGAGGTCCATTTCAGACCCTGTTTGCCCGGGTATCAGCAGCGGAGGCTGCAGAAGAGCGAATATTGCTGAACATCAAATGCTGCTGTCTGATCGTTCCGCTGGAGGTCTCATCTCAGAGGAGTACCCAGCCGTGTGAGGTGTCAGTCTGCCCCTACTGGGGGGGACCTCCCAGATAGGCTACTTGGGGGTCAGGGACCCACTTGAGGAGGCAGTCTGTCCGTTCTCAGATCTCAAACTCCGTGCGGGAAGAACCATTACTCTCTTCAAAGCTGTCAGACAGGGACATTTAAGTCAGCAGAGGTTTCTGCTGCCTTTTTTTCGGCTATGCCCTGCCCCCAGAGGTGGAGTCTACAGAGGCTGGCAGGCCTCCTTGAGCGGCAGTGGGCTCCACCCAGTTCGAGCTTCCAGGCCATTTTGTTTACCTACTCAAGCCTCAGCAGTTGTGGGTGCCCCTCCTCCAGCCTAGCTGCCACCTTGCAGTTCTATCTCAGACTCATGTGCTAGCAATGAGTGAGGCTCTGTGGGCGTGAGACCCTCCAAGCCAGGGGTGGGATATAATCTCCTGGTGTGCCGTTTGCTAAGACCTTTGGAAAAGCGCAGTGTTAGGGTGGGAGTGACCCGATTTTCCATGTGCCATCTGTCACAGCTTTACTTGGCTCTGAAAGGGAATTCCCTGACCCCTTGTACTTCCTGGGTGAGGCGAAGCCTCGCCCTGCTTCAGCTCATGCTCAGTGCGCTGCACCCACTGTCCTGCACCCACTGTCCAGCACCCACTGTCCAACAAGCCCCAATGAGATGAACCCGGTACTTCAGTTGGAAATGCAGAAATCACCTGTCTTCTGTGTTGCTCATGCTGGGAGCTGTAGACTGGAGCTGTTCCTATTCAGCCATCTTGGAATGTTTTCCATTTCTTATAAATTTGGATTTTGATTAAAATCAACAAGAAAAAAATAAGAAATTATAAAATTAAAAATATATACTTTAATTTGCTACTCTTGGCTCGCATATGGATAAAAAAAGTCTGTAAAGGGTATTCTTGTCATTAAAAATGGAAAAATCAGAAATAAAATCACAAGTGATAAGAATGAATGAACAATGTTATATTCCCCATATAGCTTCAAAAGGCACAGCATAGCTTCAAAAGGCACAAGAATACCTTCCTGTTCAGGTATTCTTATCTGACCAGATTGTGCTCCAATACTTTTCTCTTCTTAATAGGCTCACTGTTAACCTGTTTTGGGATCAGAGAATAGGCAATGGGAATAAATAGCAAGTCTTCAGCTTTGTAATGTTGCCCAAAAGACCTTAATCAACAACCATTGATTTTAAATCTAGGAGGAGGTCAGCCACAGTCATGTGCATTAATATTTATTAATAGTTGTAGGTAAGGTATAATAAAAATTAGATTTTCTATTTATCCACATTTAGATGGCAAGGAAATTAGTATGTAAAAGCACCAATAATTGATTGCAGCTATTTTCTTAACTTTAGCTTGGCAGGCTTCTGGTGCTGATTGTGAGTGCATTCTGAGGTGATGTTTACACAAATCAGACCTGAGAACAGGAGGGCTCCAATATTTTTATCGTAAAATCTGAGTCAAGGGACAAGCAGTTGTTTACACAACAGTAGGAAAGCAACCTAAACTTCCTGTAATCTGTGTTTCTTCTTCTTCTTCTTCCATGGGGAATATTGAACTCACAGAAGACTAATAAGGGTGATAAGAGGGAAGCTGACATGACTCCACACATTTAGGAATCTTATATACCTCAAAAATGTAGACGTCAACTGAGAGGAAGCCAGTCAAAATCAACATAAGGTGACTTTACGTATTGAATTGGATGTTTACAAAATGATGTAGAAAGAAAGGAAAGAGGAAAGAAAGGAAATGAAGATTCAGTTTTTACATTTCAATTATTCTCTCCCACACTTTTAACATCTCGATATTGATGAAGCTGATTATTGCTGGGGTAGGGAGGTAGAAGGTATAGGGCAAACAATGCTATATAGAGAACTATAAGGATATCGTTTCCTAAATAATCTCATACTCATAATGATGTCCCAAGGCCATTGAGGCCACACTGAGGCAACCTGCAAGGCCATGTATTAAAAAGTTCTCATCATTTCTATATTTTAGAGACTAGGCAGACATTCCAACTTCATCCCTGTCATCTATATCTTTTGTCCACAGAGGTCACTTCAGGGGTCTACTCTCCCACAAAGCACAAAACAATGGATACCTAGAGTACATAGTAGCACAGGAAAGTACAATAGAAAGGAGACAGCATTTGTATTGGAATAAAGTAGACTCACAGTACCTCGTGGTTTCCCTTAATATTAACTTGCATTTACATAGTAACTCATGCTTTTTCAAAGCATTTTCACATGTCATTAGAAATGCATAACAATTATCTCCAAGTTGTAGATTGCTAACAGATGTCATATTAATTATGTTAACCTCCTTAACACATTGACAATCATATTTCAAGCAATCATTATTAGAGAGTATTCAGTGACCTTAAAGGAAATTGCAGAAAAAAAAGGAAAGGATTTCAGAGTTGGGATAGAATAGGAATAGGTAATCTAGATTACCCTCAAGGAAACTTGAGAAATAGTAGACAGCGAATCCAGCTATAGTACATGAAAAATATGTACAGATCAAGATCATCACCAATCAAAAGAGGTGCAGATTGAACATTTAAACCCAGTTCTCTAGAAAGATCAATGTCAGTCATGTGTCTTTAAATAACGGTGTTTATAACAATGACTAGCTAACTCACCACACCCATTTATTCTTTTACCTAGGTGCACAGACAGTAATCCTTGAATTATTACTAGGTTGTATAGACTGTGGAGCGCAAATACTATTTTTTGTAGTGTTAGGTGAACAAGAAATAAATTTCTAACATGTTTCAGCCACTATACACTTTTCATCCGTCTTCAAGAGCAGCTAAAATAAGCTTAGCTTCTATCACAGCCCAACTACGTAAAGTCACCTAAAGGTCAATCAAGGTGTCTCAGGCTCTGTAGACTCCTTTCTAGAAAATGACTGGAAAATTATCTGATTTATTGTTTGTTTATTTTTGCCACTGTTGGCTTCATTTCAATGGCTTCTTGTCCCCCTTAAATCCCTTGAAATTAAGAGAAGAGTTTCCTTCCCCATTTTAATTTATAGTGTGCTCTAGGACAAGGTTTACACATAATTCTTAATCTCTGGCGTTTGCTGCTACTGGATATTTTGTACAACGTTTTTTACCCAATTTAGGTCTGAGGCCTGGACCCAACCAAGCATTGGCCCTTTCACTGTTGAGCACCACAACCATTTTTGCCCCACCAAGATGTTGTAGATTCTGCTTCTAGTAAGTTAGAACAAAAATGTGATTCTTCATTGGTGAGTCACTATGCAGTAGGATAGTGATAGCCACAATTCAATACCCAGAATTATGAAAGCTGAAGTCCAACCCCTGCGGAGAAAGAAAAAGGAGGAATTAATAATGTGTCAGTACTCAGGTCAAAACACCTGGAATTTAAAAGTTAAGAAAGAAAAATATACTGACAATAACATGGCATAAACACCATTGCATATGAAAATATTATTTATAACATTATAAACATATTATTTATAATTTTTTTTTTCTTTTGAGATGGATTCTTGCTCTGTCGCCCAGGCTGGAGTGCAGTGCCGTGATCTCAGTTCACTGCAAGCTCTGCCTCCTGGGGTTCACGCCATTCTCCTGCCTCAGCCTCCCGCGTAGCTGGGACTACAGGTGCCCGCCACCACGCCCGGCTAATTTTTTGTATTTTTAGTAGAGACGGGGTTTCACCATGTTAGCCAGGATGGTCTTGATCTCCTGACGTTGTGATCCGCCTGCCTCAGCCTCCGAAAGTGCTGGGATTACAGGCATGAGTCATTGCGCCTGGTCTATTTATAATATTTTAAAATTATAGTATGTGTATATGTTTTTCTGTTTTTGTTTATTTATTACGAGAAGTTAGTACTTTATATCTAAACACCGTGCTTCTAGCTCCAAGACTAATTGGAGACTTTGTAATAGGTAAATGTAAGTCTGTGAAAGCCTTGGTCATAAATTAGTCAATAATTGAGAGGAACTGATTTCACAGATTCAGAGAACAGATTCTATAGGTGAAAAAGGCTTGGAAAAATAGGTTGACAATAATTTGGGTTAAAAAGCCATTCAAGAAATGAATGTCTGTATAAACAACCAAATCTGATGTCCATAGTGTCACAGTTATCATCTGTAGCAGGTGAGTTGGATGTGAGTTTTAAGAAGAAAAATTCTATTTTAAAAATAAATACATTTATCAACAGTTATTTTTAAGTTTATTGTGTACTGCCAGACACTTTGGATATCTTCACTGCATTGTACAGATTCATGAAGCAAAGTGCTCTTGGTTGGCTTTTTTAATACTAACTTAAGGGTTCATGCTAAGTTCTTTCTTATCACTCTTTTCTCATTCAGTAACCCTCCAGGGAAGAAGATTGCAAGACTTCAGACTTCATTTCAAATAACACATAGACAACTCTCATCTTCACATTTATTTTCACTTAAATACCAATTTCACAAGGTTTTAATTTTCCTGGCTCTGCTTAGCACATTTAAATGCAGATATAAAGTAATGAAATTACCATAGTCCCAATATGTGTTATTAACAAACAATATTTATTGAGACTCTTTATAAGAGTTGCATTTCTATAGTGACCTTGGTCTTTTATGTTTCTTTATTCTAAATTACTACTTTCAATAATTTCTCTTTATTGTTACTGCCTCAGAATTTAAACAGAAAACCAATAGAACCTTTTAACATTTAGAAATATATTTAAAATAAATTGCATATAAATATGTACTTTAAATAATTTTTTAATATATTTAAAAGCATATGTGATACTCATGTGAAAGCATACCAAATGTAAAATGTATTTTGTTAACATGAGCTCCTAAGTGTTATGATTTAATATGTTTTCAATTACACTTTTGAAATTGCCATTGGCAAGAAAATGCCATGAATCGGAAATGCTCAACTAAAACGATTATAGCAAACTGGCCAAATATGTTGTATAACACTTTAGCAAAAAATTGAACTTCTGCATGCAAACTATGATAGTTTATACTTCAAGTTATTAATGAATGCACTGATATGCTCACAGAAAGCATTAAATAATTGATATTGAACAAAGACATTTTAGCAAAACTGGAACGCAGAAATATCTAAATTAGGCCACAGTCATTAAAGCTAATACATGGCACTGTATAATCATTGTTTATTAGTATTATGATCTACTACCTTTAATATCTCCCCAACAAAGGACGGACTTCTGTACATATGTTTTCTCTCTCTCTCTCTCTCTCTCTCTCTCTCTCTCTCTCTCTCTCTATATATATATATATATATATATATATATAAAACAAAATAAATACATTCTAATGGAATATATTTTTTAAAAAATATGGAAGTCTGTAAACTTCATCATACACAAATTCACTTTTCAATAAAAAGAAAATAATAGCATTTGTATGTTCCCATATGTTCTCTGAGACCTTTTCCTGTACACATACACATAGATCATATGAACTCTTACATGTTTGTATGTATGCACACATTATTTAGTGTAATAATGCTATATATCTTGTTCTGTGATGCAATCTACTTTTTACCTAACAATACATTACATGTAAAATTATCTATACATATTCTTTTGAGGGTTTTATTATTCCATATTTCTTTATCCAATAATTTACTCATTATTTCATTAATTGCTATATGGTTTATTCCTATGTTGCAATATGCCCATCACACTGCAATGAATATTCTTAAAGGTATTTTCTGCAATTCTGTGAGTATTTTTGTAAGACAAAATTACTAAATGTATTGATGGATTGGGTAATATACACATTTGTTTTGCTCTTTATCTTATGTTCTAATCACTGAAACTTATAACCTTCTTTTAACTCTGACTATGTACCTCCTCCAGGTATTATTTTTTCCATACAAACAACGGGAAAATGTGCTATATATGTATTGTTTTTGAAATTCTCACTGGGCTTCAGTTTCTCAACCCTAAAAGGAGTGACTAAAATGGCCACCTAAACATTCCTTTCACTACTGATATCTTAGCCACCTAGACACAAAAATTATATTCTGGTAAGAGAAATGATTTAAGTAACTGTCAATGGAGTATAATATCTTGGTGGTCAAGGAAGATTTACTTTTAAAAAATGTATAGCAATAATATATTCAAATGGAAAGCCAATGTAAAGTTGTGAACTTAAAATTAATTTTCTAGCTCTGTAACTAAATGTGGCCTACCAGCAGTGGCTTCCTCACTGAAGCCCGCCAGCCAAAGTCCACCTCCATTTTCATGTCTAATACTTTCTACAAAGAAACCAGAAACACTTAAGGTATAACAATATCAACAACAATGACAATAATAAAAAATATCTAGTTGGGAGACCTTGAAGGGAAGCAGGCTCAGAAATGCTGCCCTTGTCTCCTTTGGAGAATAAATTCTACTAGAGACCGCTTGGTAGGATGCACTGATTAGGGAAGGAAATTGCACTTGGGGGTAAACTCAGCCCTTATGGGGTTCCTCAAAATGTTGTTAGAAATTTGCACTAAGATACAAGATGAGCAGTTGCAAAGAAGACAGTGAACTTGAGGACAAAGAAATTAGCTTAGGAACTGGGTGCATCCATAAAGTTCTCTTCCATAACTATTTATTTTCTTGAGGTTTTTGTTCAGATTAGATGAAAATCTATATAAAGAGTGTAATTTAAAATCTCTTTACCGCATTTGTGGCAATACTTTCTTTCTCATTAATAAAGTATGGCACATCAATATGGCACATCAATACCTGCAGCATATGGATGCTGTGAATAAAAGTAAAGGGCAATCTAGAAAAGATAGCCTGCCCTATGAAAAGCCCCAGGAAATGCATGTTGGAAGCCCTTTTAGAAGCTGCAGAGGTGTATCTCTTGTGAACTTCAGCTCATGAGTTGAAGAGGACAAAGGAAGACATTGCCTAAGGAAGAATAGAAAACAAATGGAAGAAAGTCAGAGCAACAATGCCAGCAGATCTGATTTGGGAATGGTCATCTAGTTTCTCAATTATACTAGAAGATGGCTTTAATAGGGGGTGTTCTAAATGATGCTCAGTGTCGAAAGATATTTGTAATTAAGTTTTCATGTAACTATATATACATAAAATGTATTGAAATATAATTATGAACACTTAGATACCCATTATCCTATGTGTCTGGCACTGTTATAGAGACTGTTGATATAGAAGTTCTTGTTTCTTTCTTTTTTTTTAATTTATAAAGAAAAGAGGTTTATTTGGCTTAAGGTTTTGCAGACTGTACAAGCATGGCACCAGCATTTGCTCAGCTTCTGGTGAGGCCTCAGGAAGCTTTTATTTGTGGCAGAAGGCAAAGGGGGAGCAGGCATGTCACATGGTGAGAGAAGGAGCAAGAGAGAAAGGGAGGGTTGCCATGCTCTTTTATTTTTTTTATTTTTATTTTCTTTTAATATATCTACTGTCTTTTTTTTAATTATTATACTTTAAGTTTTAGGGTACATGTGCACATTGTGCAGGTTAGTTACATATGTATACATGTGCCATGCTGGTGCGCTGCACCCACTAACTCATCATCCAGCATTAGGCATATCTCCCAGTGGTATCCCTCCCCCCTCCCCCCACCCAACAACAGTCCCCAGAGTGTGATGTTCCCCTTCCTGTGTCCATGTGATCCCATTGTTCAATTCCCACCGATAAGTGAGAATATCAACCATTGTGGAAGTCAGTGTGGCGATTCCTCAGGGATCTAGAACTAGAAATACCATTTGACCCAGCCATCCCATTACTGGGTATATACCCAAAGGACTATAAATCATGCTGCTATAAAGACACATGCACACGTATGTTTATTGTGGCATTATTCACAATAGCAAAGACTTGGAGCCAACCCAAATGTCCAACAATGGATTAAGAAAATGTGGCACATATACACCATGGAATACTATGCAGCCATAAAAAATGCTGAGTTCAAGTCCTTTGTAGGGACATGGATGAAATTGGAAATCATCATTCTCAGTAAACTATCACAAGAACAAGAAGTTCTTGTTTCTTGAATCTTATATTTTAAAGGGGGGAAGGGAATACATAAAAATGGTCAACCAATGGGTGCTCAAGGTAATTTCAGAAAATGGTAAGCAACTGCAAGGAAAATAAATGGAACGAGGGGATAGGAAAAGACGCAAGCAGTGGAACAAGGTTGCTTAGACTGGAGTATGGAAAAAAATGTTTGAAGAGAGTGAAATTTGATTGGAGACGTGAAAATAGAGAGGAACCATAGAAATACCAAAGAAGGATTTCCTCAGGCAGAGGAAACAGATACTCCAAGTGCTTTAAACTGGACCTGATTTAGCCTGTTCAAAAAGACAAAAGGAAATAACTATGGCTCTAGGGCAATAAAAAAATAGAGACATAAAATGAGGGCAGAGCAGTTGGACAGTTAATTAATCATGTAGAGGAGTGGTTTTTGTACTTGAGCGAAACAGGAGAGTGTTACAGAAACAGATTGTACTTTTTACAAGTTCCCAGGTGATACTGATGCTTCTAATCTGGACATCCACCTGTTGAACAATGTTGTAGGGCTTTAAACACAAGGCAAACTTTGGAATTTATTTTATTGTTTCTAAGTGTAATTGAAAGCCATAGGTGAGTTCAAGAAGTAGACTCCGAATAAAGAATGGATTGGAAGGAGTAGAGTTTGAAAGCAAAGTGTACTCTCAACCTATTTTATCTTTTTTTGTGTTTGTTTTTTATTTTATTTTCAGTATAAATATATTTATTTTTCATGGGATTATTTTTTAATTTTAGATGCAGGGGATACATGCTGCATGTTTACTGTATGGATATCTTGCGTGATGCTGTGGTTTGGGTTTTTCATGATCCTGTTGCCCAAGTAGTGAACATAGATAGTACCTGATATTTTTGGATCTAAATTGTGTCTCCTGTAAAAAGCATATTGTTAGATACTGTTTCTTTTGTTTTTTGTAACCCGTTTGACAACCTCTGTCTTCTGATTGAATTATTATCAGAACAATATGGTTGTCCTGGTATCATTGATATGATTAGATTTGTGTCTGCTGTCATGCTTTTTTTGTCTATATATTCCATTACTAGTTTGTTCCCCTGTTTCTTCTTTACTAATTTATTTTTATGAAGTGTATATTTTCCTATTAAGGTATTTTAACTCATTTAATAATTTTAACTATTTTTAGTTACTTTCTTGGGGGTTGCTTTAGGACTTAGAAATCATATTGTATTAAATTAGGTGAAGAGACTGTTATAGAAAATAATGCTGCAGAATATGAGTGGTTTAACACAATAATTTTTTTATGACATGTAACTCAATATGGATGTTTGCCTGGCACTTTTTAAGGCAGTGACTCAGAGACTTAGCTCCTTCCATATCTTGACTCCTCCATCTCTTGGACTTCACAATCCTTTGTTTTTAGCTGGTGGGTGAACAAAGATAGGTTAAGAGAAGTCACTTGCTTCTAAGCCAGCTAGGGCAGAAGTAACATTGTTCCTTTCAACACATCACCCATTGGCAAGAAATTGTCTCATCATTTCCCTGTGTGCTGGTGCAAGGAATTTCAAAATGTAGCACCTAGCTGGGTAGCTAATGCAACAATTCTACACAATCGAAAGGAAGCCTAAATATTTGGTGGACTGCAAGTTGTTTCTGTCATATAAAACACATTTTAGGAGAGTATTTTAATAATCTAGGCTAGAGAATTTAATGACTTAGGCTAGCAGTGTAGTAGAAGAGGTAGAGGAAAGGATAGATTTATAATATTATAAAGATAAAATAATAGATTTGATAAAGAAATGTGAGGTGTACTGTAGATGGTAAAATTATTTACTGATATGCAAAAAAAATTTAAAAACAAACAAATGAAAAGATGGATTGAGGATTAATGAATAAATTAATTTTTGACCCACTAATTTTGAGGTAATTTTTAGATGCCCAAATGAAAATATAAAGTATATATATAAATACTTTATATATATAAACATATAAAGTATTTAAATACATATCTAGAGATCAGTAAAGGTCTGGATATATTCACTTAGAAGATATTAGCATGGAGCTAATATTTAAAGCCACAGACAAGATTTTCTAGGGAAAATGAGCAGATAAAGAAAGAGAAGTCAGCCTGATATCCAGGGGCTTACTGATATTTTGGAGGACAAAAAGAAGGTAGGCTGGGCATGGTGGCTCACACCTGTAATCCCAGCATTTGGGGAAGCCGAGGCGAGTGGATCATTTGGGGTCAGGAGTTTGAGACCAGCCTGGCCAACATGGTGAAACCCCATCTCTACTAAAAATACAAAAATTAGCCAGGCATGGTGGTGTGTGGCTGTAATACCAGCTACTCAAGAGGCTGAGGCAGGAGAATTGCTTGAACCCAGGAGGCAGAGGTTGTAGTGAGCCGAGATAGGGCCGCTGCACTCCATCCTGGGCAACAGAGTGAGACCCCGTCTCAAAAAACAAAACAAAACAGTAAAGACATTAAAAGAAACTAAAAAGGAGCTGCCTTTATTAAAGATAAGACTTTTAACATGTGCTGTTATGGAACTCAAGAGAAGGTATTGTTTCAAGAAGGAAAGAGTGGTCCATTGTGCTTAATGTTTCTGACATTTCAAATAAGAAAATAAGATAAAGAAATCTTACCAAGGTCATTTATGACCTTGACAAGAACATTGTCCTAACTTTTTCCTTGATCTAGATGTTGTGATTGTTTTAATGAATAGTATATGAAGGAAGTAATGCTATATGACTTCCAAAGATAAGTCACAATATGAAATACGCTTTCTTCCTGGTTCTCTTTCTCCAGACTCTCAGGTAAGTCACAATATGAAATACGCTTTCTTCCTGGTTCTCTTTCTCCAGACTCTCACTTTTGAAACTCATCAGCATTATGTGAGGAATGCAAAACTATCCCACATGCTAAAACCACGTGAAGAAGAACATATGAAGAGAAACAAGGTCCCCAGCTGATAGTCATTATCGATTGCTAGATATGTAAGTGAATAAGCCTTTAGATGATTCCAGCCCATGAAGGAGTGACAAGCCATCCCTGCAGTACTTTTTCCAAAATCATGACCCTCAGGATCCGTGAACATAATTTGCTATGGTTTGAATGTGTCTTCTCCAAAATTTATGTGTTGAAACTTAATAACCAATATGATAGTTTTAAGAAGTGTGACTTTAGGAGAAGGTAACACATCCCCTATTTTGTTCTTCTACTTTCCGACACATAAAGACACGGTAACAAGGTTCCATTTGGGAAGCAGAAAGGGCCAGCCTTCACCAGATGCAGAAACTGCTGGTGACTTGATCTGGACTTCCTCCCCGGCCTCCAGAGCTATTTATATACGTATAAATCCAGTCTCATGCATTTTGTTATAGCAGCACACATGGACTAAGATATAGCTGCTTTCTTCCATTTCATTTTGGGTTACTATGTTATGCAGCCATAGCAACCAGAATATAAACATGGGATTCAAGGGCTAACCAAGAGGTAATAAATGCGGTTAGGAAGAGGGGATAAGAGGATGTTGATAAGTGTGGGTAGGGGGTAAAGGGTGAAGGCTTTTGAAGATCTTTGTAAGGACTTTGAAATTTACACTGAATAAGATGGGAGCTTTTGCAGGGTTCTGAGCAGAGAAGTAACATGATTCGACTTATATCAATATATGTATTTGCTTTTTCTTGAGATCACAAATTCTTGATTTTTTTTGTGTTTGTGTGTGTTCTTTATTAAAAGGAAACACAACTCTGTTGCAGTAACTTCTTGCCTGGTCGTAAACTTCTACCTCCATTTTCTTGGAAATGTAACGTTAGGTTAATAGCAAAATAATCATAAAATACGGTAGACAACTCTATATTATTTTCAGTTTTGTTTTCTTCTTTAGAGAAAGTTATTTACAAAAAAACTATTAAGGAAGACATTCACCTAGATGGCATTCCTAATATTTATCTTTGTTTCCTAATTATGCCAAAGAATAATTCCTTTTGAGTGGAGAGTACTTTGGCTGTACTGCAGATTCTTATCTAAATTAAATAAGAAGAGAAAAAAAAATCTTTTGTAATCTCATAAGACTGTTAAACTGCAGCTCAAATGTTTGGCTTCAACTCTGCTTGGCTGAGGCAGGAGAATCACTTGAACCTGGGAGGCAGAGGTTGCAGTGAGCCGAGATCGCGCCACTGCACTCCAGCCTGGGTGACAGAGTGGGACTCCGTCTCAAACGAAAAAAAAAAAAAAAAATTGAAAGTATCAGGAGCATGCTACTCAGAAATATCATTTAGAAATATTTATAGTTGTGATATAGTTATTTTCAGGATGATATATTTATTTCTCCCGACAAATAGTACATAATCATATTAGCAGTTTCGCTAAAAACTTTTTGCTATCAGCCATATTATTTTTCAGAGATAAGAAAATTTAAGGTTGCCATAACTACAAATATTGAGTGCAATAATATTTTCTAGATTACTTGTGCTTTATTTCTCTGTGAAACTTTAAAATGAAAGATAGGAGTCCTACTATAATTAAATGGTGAGCAACCCCATTAGCAATCCCATAGAACGCATACTTCTCATAATGTATAAAATATGTTTAATGAAGAGCGAAGATTTCAACACAGTATAGTGTTCCTATGATATCTGAAAGTATTTAGGTTTGCAAGAATTAAATCACATGCTTAATAAAATTTGAATTCCAGTCAACCGTTTTTTTCCTCTTGATAACAAACAAATTTTATTATGTCACGAAATAAAACATTCCCTAAAATATGTTAGATAAATAAGTACATTTTGTAAGCACATGAGAGTGTTTATTATTTAAATACACCTCTATATTTCTGAATGGCATAATCATTTTCAATGCCACAAATTATTTGGATGTTTACTTAGTAACGCTATCAATGTTGCTCCAAATTATTTTAACTCCCTAAGAATACAAAATACATAATTATTTTCACAATGCATTTTCATTAGATATGTATGTCAAAACGTAGAGTCATTCCTAGATGAAATAGATTTTTCACAGCTACAGGTTTAATCAACGCAGTTCAGAAAATGAACCCAAAACTCATTATTTCCATCTCTAAATTGCACCATGAAAACACTAGAAATTGAGTCCGACTCATGTTTACCACTTGTTACCCATGAGCTTTGATTGTTACAGTTGTTATATCAAACCAATATTATGGAAAACATCAGATAATACATATAACTCAGGTCTTCTCATCAGATAAAAGACACCACAGTCAGAAATAAATTCGATTATTTATTTATCCTGTAGGCATAGATAATTATATTGTCTAATATATATACTTTTCCTCTGTGGTTTCATGTGACTCTAGAAACTGCCAGCTGAAAAGTGTGTGCTGGTATTTTTTTGCTAATGCTAATTATTGAAATTTACCATTGGGTGAGCTGGTTTGAGGTAATTACATTCTCTATGTATCAGGACTACAGATTCTAAATGAAATAATCCCTTGCAGTCAAATCTATTTCCTAATATGAGCAAAGTTAATTTCAACAATGACCTGGAAGAGCTAGGCAAAATTATTTTATTACAATATATTGATTTATCTAAAAAAAGGTACTAGACTAGCTGAGAAAGATTTGAGCCATTTAAAGATATGACTACGGATTTTTCTAAAGGTTAAAGAATTGAGTCATAATAGAATGCAACAAGAATAATATAGAGGACTTCCTCTGTGATCAGACATGGGAGGCTTTACTTTTCTGCCTTTCACAGTTTATGAAGGAACTAAACTTATTGGTGTAAAGTTATTAAAAACAACTTTGGCTATACAGTGGTTATCGACTTTGTTTTATGAAAATAACTGTTCTGTCTTCTTTTCCTCCAAACAGGTTTTACTGAATTTTGCTTCGTATGTATATAGTTTGGATTGTTTTTGAATCAGTGATACCTTTCTTTTCCTTTATAGTAAACAGTAATTCTTGAGAGAGATACTCTTAAGTCAAATAGAACTAACAGAATGTGATGCACTCTTTTCATTTCCCAGTTAAATCTCGTTCTTTTTTGGTCATGTAATGACTACCTTGAGATATGTATGCTTTATGCATATTTCAATATGTGTAAAATGTACATTTTGTGTGTGTATAGTTACATTCCAATACTCTGTCGTGCTTTATAAAATGATACAGATATTATACAATGGTGCATGGCATATTATCTGATGATATTGTGTCCAGAATTGGTGTGTTCTTGGTCTCACTGACTTCAACAATGAAGCCATGGGCCCTCGCAGTGAGTGTTACAGTTCTTAAAGGTGGCGTGTCCGGAGTTTGTTCCCTCTGATGTTCGGATGTGTTCAGAGTTTCTTCCTTCTGGTGGGTTCGTGGTCTCGGTGGCTCAGGAGTGAAGCTGCAGACCTTCATGGTGAGTGTTATAGCTCTTAAGATGGCGCGTCTGGAGTTGTTCCTTCCTCCTGGTGGGTTTGTAGTCTCCCTGGCTTCAGGAGAGAAGCTGCACACCTTTGCGATGAGTGTTACAGCTCACAAAGGCAGTGTGGACTGAAAGAGTGAGCAGCAACAACATTTATTGCAAAGAGCAAAATAACAAAGCTTCCACAGTGTAGAAGCGGACTGGAGCAAGTTACCACTGTGGGCTAGGCAGCCTGCTGTTATTCTCTTATCTGGTCCCACCCACATCCTGCTGATTGGTCCATTTTACAGAGAGCCCAATGGTCTGTTTTACAGACAGCTGATTGGTCCATTTTGACATGATGTTGATTGGTGCATTTACAATCCCTGAGCCAGACACAAAAGGTCTCCAAGTTCCCACTAGATTAGCTAGATACAGAGTGCTGATCGGTGTATTCACAAACCCTGAACTAGACACAGATTGCTGATTGGTGCATTTACAAACCTTGAGCTAGATACAGAGTGCTGATTGGTGTAATCACAATCCCTTAGCTAGACATAAAAGATTCTCCAAGTCCCCACCAGATTAGCTAGATACAGAGTGCCGAATGGTGCAACCACAAACCCTGAGCTAGACACAGGGTGCTGATTGGTGTGTTTACAAACCTTGAGCAGATACAGAGTGCCGATTGGTGTATTTACAATCCTTTAGCTAGACATAAAGGTTCTCCAAGTCCCCACTAGACTCAGGAGCACAGCTGGCTTCGCCCAGTGGATCCGGCAGTGGGGCCGCAGGTAGAGCTGACTGCCAGTCCCACCCTGTGTGCCCGCACTCCTCAGCCGTTGGGTGGTGGATGGGACCAGGCACATGTAGCAGGGGACGGCACTTGTCTGGGAGGCTCCCATACGCAGAAGCCCACTGTGGAGGGAATGAGGGGAGGCTCAGGCATGGCGGGCTGCACGTCCTGAGCCCTGCCCCACTGGGAGGCAGCAAAGGCCCGGCAAGAAATCGAGTGACTGCTGGGGGACCCAGCTTACCCTCCGCTGCTGCTGGCCCCGGTGCTGAGCCCCTCACTGCCCAGGCGGGCAGGCTGCTCCCAGTGCGGTGCCCGCCAAGCCCAAGCCCACCCGAAACTCTAGCTGGCCCGCAAGCGCCTGGGAGACCGGGTTCCCGCCAGGTGCGTCTCCCTCCACACCTCCCCGCTGGCTGAGGGAGCCGGCTCCGTCCTCAGGCATCCCAGGAAGAGGTTCTCACAGTGCAGCAGCGGGCTGAAGGGCTCCTGAAGCGTGGCCAGAGTGGGCGCCCAGGCCAAGGAGGCACCAAGAGCGAGCGAGGGCTGTGAGGGCTGCCAGTACGCTGTCCCCTCTCAATATGAGCAGCAGAAGAGAGAAAGCGTAGTGCCACCATGAGAAGGATAAAAATAATTTCTACCAGAAATGAGGAAGATACTAATTCAAGAGAAACAAAACAGTAAGAGGTAACAATTTTACTTGGTTGCGGTGCTTAGTGAGGAATCGATTTTCAACTCTAGGACTGCATTCCCAGAATGACTATTTTCTCTTGCATTAAGTATATATTTAATATATTTCCTTTAAATTGTTGATTTTCTTTATCCATCTCCATCCCTGAAAAGTCACAGATGATAATAATAATAGTGTAGCTTCATGAATCCACTGAGTGTGATTTGATTAGTTTCAAACAGAAACTTTATTCATTATCTCCTATTTTAAATGTTTATTGTAGGTTTTACCCCCTCACTGTTTTAGCTATTTAACACGTGATATTCAGGATCTTGAGATTGTTGAGCGTAGGGTCTTTTACCTTGGATAAATTTATATTGAAAAATAAAGAACAGGAGATATGCAAACTATCAGGAAGAAAGCAAAGGAACATAGAGGTGTTGAGGAGGAAAAGATTGCTGTACCTCTTGGTTGAAAGCAGCTATTAGGTAGACAACTGGTGAGAAAAAGAAGAAAGAGTACTTTAGGTGTGGATTTACTATAACTTAATTGGCAATTGAAAGACAGAAGGAAAACGTATGGGAAGAGAGAAGACAAGAGAAAGGAGAATGATAATGGAGTAGGATGTTTTGCACCGTCATAACTGGTTTGGGGAAAGGTGCTGCAAAGGCTAGAAAAGAATTTAGTTCAAAAAGAATGGAGGATTATTTTTTAATTTTAATTTTAATAGTTTTAGGGATACAAGTGGTTTTTGGTTACATCAATAAGTTCTTTAGTGGTGATTTGTGAGATTTTGGTGCACCTATCATTCAAGCAGTGTACACTGTACCCAATATATAGTTTTTTTTATCTCTTATCCCTCTCCCTCCCTTCCTGCCGAGTCCCCAAAGTCCATTATATTATTCTTATGCTTCTACATCCTCATAGCGTAGCTCCAATTTAGAGGTGAGAACATACCATACTTAGTTTCCCATTCCTAAGTTATTCCTTAGTTATTCCCATTCCTGAGTTATTTCACTTAGAATAATAGCTTCCATCCAAGTTGTTGCAAAAGACATTATTTCGTTCCTTTTCATGACTGAGTAGTATTCTATGGTGTGTGTATATATATATATATATATATATATATATATATATATAATATATATTCTATGGTATATACATACACTATGGTATATATATATATACCATGGTGTATATATATTCTATGGTATATATATATACCATGGTGTATATATATTCTATGGTATATATATTCTATGGTATATATATTATATGGTGTATATATATTCTATGGTATATATATATTCTATGGTATATATATATATATTCTATGGTGTGTGTGTGTGTGTATATATATATATATATATACACACACACCACATCTTCATTCAGTCGTTGGTGGATGAGCACTTAGGTTGGTTCCATATATTTGTAATTGCAATTACAAATTGCACTGCTATAAACATACGTGTGCATGAATCTTTTTCATATAACGACTTCTTTCTTTTGGGTGGAGGTGGATATCCAGTAGTGGGATTGTTGGATAAAATGGTAGTTCTACTTTTAGTTCTTTAAGGAATCTCCATGCTGCTTTCTATAATGGTTGTACTAATTTACACTCCCAACAGCAGTGTAAAAGTGCTCTTTTTTCACCACATCCACACCATCATCAATTGTTTTTTGACGTTTTAATTATGGCCAGAAGGAAGGATTCTTGAAGAGGAGAAGTGAAGAGAACAAAGTTTTCTTCAATTAAGGAAGCATTCAAGTTATTACAAAAAATAGTTTCTTTTAACTGCTCTTTGCTTAAAGTAATAATTAGAATGAATAAGTCCATCCATAATAACAAAAATATTTAGGTCTCTTATGGATTATAAACTCCTTGAGGGCAAGAACCTTAATTAACCTTTCAATTGGCTTAGCGTATGATTATATTCACATTGTAAGGGTTTGGGTGGCATGAGATATTAATTATCATAACCTAAGTTTTGTTACTTAATTTGTAGTAGAAGAAGAGGTCTGACGGCTGTCAATATGTAAAGGAATAAACATACATCAAAGACTTCTTTATTAAAACAGGAGGGCACTGTTAATGTCTCTATTTAGTTTATTGAATGCATTTTGTCACTTTCATATTGTATCTTTTGTACAATCTTGATTATGAAAATGCCTATCCATCAGTCTGTGTGAAATAGTAATGTGAAACCAGTTCCGGCCACCATTCATTGAAAATGCAAACGCAAAAGGAACATCTATGGTGTTTTCATTTAAGATGAACTTAAATTTGCTCATGCTTACAAGCAGAATAAAGCACTCTGCTTTAAAATCTAGCGGTTTAGGGGAAAACAGCGTTATTCAAGTGGTAGGTATACAGTTATTTGTGTAAAAACCTTTGTATGTGTGGTTAAACAACTATAATAACCATAAGACACTGCAAGCAGCTGAACAGTAGTCATTTGTAGAGGTCACAGGCCAATGGGTGTTAAAATTACTTCAAGCAGGAAAAAACCACACCATGGCATCCAGGAAGAAAACTTACATCACTAATAAGCAGGTTTAAACCATGAAAAGCAGTATGGAGGCATGACTGAGCATGAGGACAACATATTTTGACCCATACATGTTAAGAGAGTGGGTGGGGTGGCGGGGAGAGATAAAGAGATAGTATATATAGAGAGATTGTCAATTGGATCTGGAATCCTACAATCCAAGCAAGAAGGGACTCTTGATTTGAATAAGTCTATTTCCTCTCAGTGCAGAAGAGCCTTCTACACAAATATTCAACATTGATAGTTCCATTATTAGAGAGTTTTTCTGGTTTTAACTTAGAAGTCATGCGTGCATAAGTCTTCGCTTTAGTTATGTCTTCTAATGGTTCATTAATAAAAAGGCTTTCTTGTCCAAATAGAAGAAATGTATAATTTTGATGAGAGTATTCATGTTTCACTAATCCATCTCGTTTCCCAATAAATTACACATAATATTATATTACATTGTTTTCCATCCTTTAACATAGGATTTAGTATGCTTTATTTTTTTGTTCTTAAAATACGTCTTAAGGTAAAATTCCTTCTATGAACAGTTCTTGTTTTTAGGCTTTAAATTTTTACTTCTAGAAAAGGTTTAGGTATTGCTCTTCAAGTGAGTATTATTCTGAGCACATTGTCAATTGGTTGAATTGCTTTCTAACAGGATGTTAGCAAATAGCTTAATTAAAAAGCAGCGTAGTTTTCAGTTTGTCACTGTGGGCTTTTGGTAGTTTTAATTTGAATTTACAGAATATCAGTCTCTTAAATTCAAATTTAAGTACAAAGGTACATAACCTTTGTATTTTCTGTACTCTATTATATAGACATAATAATCATATCTCTTTTCCCATTGCTAGATTTATTGCTAAGACTACTGTAGCAAAAGACAGATTAACAAGAGACAGTTATTCACATTTATTTAATATAAGTTTTACACAACATGGGAGCATTCAGATATAAAGACCCAAAGAAACAGAGAAACTTGTGTATTTTTATGGACAGTTGTACAGAAGTATGACTGGGCAATAAAAAGGTATGATCTAATGGTAACATATTGGGAGAAACTTAGCAAGGCCTGTTCAGGTTCTTCTTGGCATCTTTTGTGTCTGCCTTCCTTTCCTCCAAGTATAGGGAGCACCCAACTGGGAATGAGGGTCCTATGACCTACTTTAGAGGCTGGTCAGATAACTTTTTAATGGCTTATTTTGGGGAGAATGGCAAGAAAATGTCTGAGAGACCTTCCTGTTTTTACCGTTTTCTCAAATGCCCAGGTGCTGTATGTTGGGATACCATGTCCTGAATCCCATCAATATACTTATATATGTATATACATTTATCTATATTTGTTTTATATTGTTATATTGATGTGAACATTTCTTTAATGTTCACATCAATAATTAACTGTGCATATATTGATGTATTCATATATATTTATCAGTTTGACTGTTTCATAAAATGAAATGACAGTTTAAAAAACTTTTCAGGAAAATAATAAATTTGTAAGCATAATGTATGCCTGTATGGTATCCACAAAATATTTGAATAGTGTGTTTATATGTTTGTAACAAAGAAAAGAAACTTTATTTAACATGTGAGTCAGAGAAACTCAGATAAACTAAGGAAAGTAGACATTCATAAGAGAGTCAGCCTAGATTAATTATTTTGTACCATTCTGTTAAAAGGTTGCTTTGAATGACTTCACTTAATCATCATGTCACTTACTGCTGTGTGACCTTGGACAAGATCTTAGCCTCTTCTCATCTCAGTCTTGGCTCTAAAATTAGGGAGCTATGTTTGAGAAACTCCACTATCTTTCACTATCCCCAAAGCATGTGCATTTTACAGTCTGAAAATTCTTACATAAAAACTTACCAAATGGTAATATATTTAATATATACTTAGTATTCCACAAAGACATATAAATGCCTATTTAATAATTATAAAACATTTCAATGATAAATATTATATTGATCATTCTCAAGTTTTATTACAAAAGACATGGTCAGAAAAATAAGAATATGATTCAGGATGCAGTAAAAAGGAGAGATGAATGAAGAAAACATTAGCAAACCTTGGCTTATAAAATGTTCAGTTATCTTCATCTTAACTCCAGCATGTATTTTAAAATCACAATACTTTAATAAAAGAAAACTGAATATTTTAAAAAGAGATATAATTTATATTTAATATAATATCTAGATTACATTTATGTTATACTGCCTCTAAATTACATCTAACATATTGGTACCTAATAGATGCCCAATAATTTTTTGAATAAATTATGTACATTATACTGGAACTTTTATTTTGTACTTGTGCTACCAATTAGAAAGTAATATAGTATGGTGGTTAAGAGTAGGGATTTGAGGGCCACATTAACTAGGTCCAGTTCCAGTCTCTGATACTTCTAATTGTGAGATATTGGATAAGTAAAATGAGCTTTTTGTGACTCAGTTTCTTCACACAGGTTTTGTGAGGGTAGATGTGTTGTATATACAAAGTACATAGAACAATGCCTGGCACATGTTAGTACTATACAAGTTCTAGCTTCATATAGTAATTAGTTGTTATTACTTTTTTAAAGCTTTTAAAATTATGTGACTACAGAGGAAACGAATTTTTCATATCTCTAGCAAAGTTCCATATTTAGGTTATGACTTTCACAAGTTACACTGAAGTTTTTAGCTTTGTTTTGTTTTAACATGGATTGCTTGGACAAAAGGAAATTTTATTTAACTAAACATATATCATTAAAATATGCCTATTACTTCCTTTCACAATAAGAGAATGAGAAGAAGAAAAGTACAACTCTTAAGACTTTCTTTACAATAATAAGTGGAGGCTTTATAACAAGCGGTAAACCCTCTATGTTTCAGATCTGAAATTAAGGCATTTTGGGCACTCATCTAACAAATATTCATGAGGCACCAATATACTGACACTGGGCCTTACGTTCTCAGCCATACCTACATAAATATGAAACTGGCCCTGCCCTCACGGAGTTTACTGTCTATGGATGAGAAAAGATTTATCACAAGCATGTATATTCTGTAGTGAAAAGAAACTTCATGATAAAGTATTTTGGAATTTGAGACTTTCACATTCAACAGGGAAGTAGTGGGGAGACGTATCGAGGAAAGCATCATACATAAGACAGCTGGCATTTTCAGTTGGGAAATAAAAGATAGACAAGATAAAGAGAGATGAACATTCCAGGCAGGAGGAATAATCTAAGGAGAAGCAGAGAAAAAGATAAGTGATGTGAAGGCCAGAGAAATTCGATGGCATTTGATTCTCTTGAGTGAAATTAAAGTAAATTAGCAAATAAATTATCTTGGATAATAGAAATATTTAAACATAACTACAACTAATGAATTTCTATTTTTTCTTTTATTCTGAATATTAACTTATAGTACACTTTAATAGAATTAAAGTCCTAATTAAAACATGAAGAAGAAAACACGAAACACTTAAGTTAGACCTTTCCCAGTTTACAATAAATTCTTATCTTTTGAGTTAATGGGCTCTCACAAAAAAATGCATTTTCAGCAAGAATAAAGAAAAGTTCTATATTATAGGTTAAACACAAGAGAAGACTTCAAATAAGTTCAGAAATCATTTTCTACCTGTGCAGTACAGTGCAGTGCAGTATTTTATAGCAGTATAGGATGACTTGTAGAAAATTAACAATTAGTTTTATCCATTTTGTTTCACGCTTGAAACCTTTTGCTACTAACAGTAAAAAAGTAAGAATCAATGTAAACACGATTGTGTGTTTTGAATTCAAAGGTTTTTTTTAGGTTATTCTCTTACTGTTCAGTAATCTAATAAAACATCATCTGAAACACAATATTAGTGAAGTACTTCTAAATATTTGGGAAGGAAGGAGGGAGGGAGGGAAGAAAGGAAGGGAGAGAGAGAGCAGAGCAGGAAAGAAGAACTAAGAAAAGGAGGCAGGTAGGAAGTGGGAGAGAGAAAGGAAGAAGAAAGGGAGAAAGGGGAAAAGAGAGGTTAAGGAAGCAAGCAGTGGAGACAAGGGAAAGAGGAGGGGAGAGAGTTTTCATAACAATAATTTTGCATTTTTATATATGGAACAAAAATGTTCTTGAATGATGATTTGATAGCAAGCATTTCAAAGGAAACTGGTAGCATTGTTCTTTCATTAAAATTCAAGACCACTGAGAAAAACATATTTTTCCCATGGAAATGAGCAAGTTCGGGACCCTTCTAAAGAGCATATGGTCACCACTAATCTAGTGACTTAATCCTCTCCTTTGGGCCTCTTATTCTACTTCAGGTTATCTGTCCTTTGCCTCCAGGCAGGACTACAACTAAGCCATGTAAGACAGATGTGCTTCTAACCTAGTCAAGATTTCTAGGGAAGTCATTCCCACAGCTTCTCAATATTAATCAAAATAACCAGCCCCAGAATTTAGGAGAAGCAAAATATCTCAAGTAGGCAAAAGTTTTTGGTACACTTTTGTGTGTGTGTGCAACGTCTGACAAGCAATAATTCTTTTATTTTTCTAATAAGACCTGTGTTTGAAACATTTTAAAATATATGGTAGCTGATTTGATCAGGAGCAACCTACTAAATCTCTGTTTTAAAATGCATTTATTCTTTCTTGCTGTAAATGTAAAACTCTAGTTGGTAAACAAACACAAATGAAATGGTTTGCACAGTATATAAGGCTCGTTACCAATAGAGAACCTAAGCTTTTTGTTTTAGAGATTGTCCTTTTCTTTATAATCTTTAGAGCTTTCACGTCACTGTGGTGACTTTTCTTTTGATCAATTCAAACTTCAAAGCATTTGGACATTTTATTTCTAAGCCAAAATGTATCATTTTACAAAAAGAAAGTTCATCTTCCACAAAATAGAATTTAAGCAAGATGTAGAAAAACCCAAACTGCTACCTGACTCTTACGACTTTACATAATTTTTTCTTAATCTTATCATCTGTTTTTACAGCAAGTTTAATGTTTTCTTAAATCATAATTTTCTGTCGGCACTGAAAACCTCTTCCTGTGCTCCAAATACCCATTCCAAGGCTTTGTTGGTGTATACCTTCCACATCACACGTTATCCCAATTCCTTACATAATGGTTATATCTAAAGCATCCATAAAAGTCTCACTAAAAATGACTCAAGCAAAATAATGTCTTCCTCCATCCATAGTGATAACAATAAGGTAGGTTTTTATCAAACTGATGCAGGGCATGAGAGCCCCCAAGCTGGGGCTTAGCCTGGGAGGGTTCTTGGCTTTGCCCAGGAAAGAATTCAAGGGCAAGCTGATAGTGTTAAACAGCAATGTTTATTGGAACGCCAGTGTACAGCAGCAACAGAGGTACTTCTCCTTGCAGAGCAGGGCTACCCCTTAGGCAGTGTGCCCAGAGTAGCGGCTCAAAGGCAGTTCTGCAGTCACATGTATACTCACTTGTAATTACATGCAAATTAAGGGCTGATTATGCAGAAATTTCTAGGAAAACGGTGGTAACTTTTGGGTCTCTGGGTTGTTGCCATGGAAAGGAGCAGTATCTTCCAGGTGTTGCCATGGCAATGATAAACTGACATGGCAAGCTGATGGGTGTGTCTCATGGAAAACTGCTTCTGCCCAGGCCCTGTTTTAGCTAGTCCTCAATTTGGTCTAATGTCCAAGCCCTGCTTCCAAAGTTGAGTCCAGCCTCTTACCTCAAAACTCTATAACTATTTTACTACCTATTGTTGATGTAGTTCAAGACACAAGAGAAGTATAACATGTGTATTAACACATTTGTTCCAAAAGACATCCAAGGAACTATTATTATCCCTAATTTGATGATGAAAAATAAAAAAAAAAAAACCTTAAGATGAATAGGAATAATAATGTTTACTGGGATTTTATTATGTTTGAGGTCCTTTTCTAAGCACAGTTTTCTTTCTGTTATACTAAGCTGTTATCCAATTAAATAATAGGTTAAAGATGAACAAATATTTTCAAAGTAGTGTTGGATTTTTATGTCATGTTAAAACATTCTCTTTAATTTTAGGACACATAACAGATCATGATGAAAATTTTTTTTTTTCTCAGAGTGAAATCGTCTTCTCTGAAAGATCGACAGTGTGGAGTAGTGATTCGTATTTAGAACTACTTACTGAATTATTAACATAGTAAGTAATATTAAAACTTGTAAACAATGAAAGCAGAAAGCTGGTCAGTCTGTGACAACATCATGTTTTAAGATAGCTGTTAAAGATTCTCATGGACTCTGGATCTAACTACATAACTAAGTTATCTCTGATTAATAGAACATATATATATTTGTATGTATATACACACACAGTTAAACACACTTACATATATAATCACACCCACATGTACACATACACATGTGTACATATACAGTACCCAATTACCCATGTCTGGGTACATGACCAATCAATCTAGTGTGTTTTTTTTTTTTAAGTCAGACATTCATTGTGATGGACGTGATTATGCTAATAGATCTCGCAATACCTAGACTCCAGGTTAATTTCAGAAAAATATTAGTTACCTCACTATATTTTAGTAAATTCTTATCAATTATATTTGTTAATGCTTTCAGTCTATGGTAGAAACTCAACCTATTTGTGATGCAATAAACACAAACTAAATACTCCTATGGAAGGAAAAGGTCTATCATTTGTTCTTTACTTTACATAAAAGTTGATGTGCATAGCATTCTAGATCATATTCTCTATTTCAATTCTCAACTAAAAATTAAATCTGAAATTCACTAAAATAAAGACAGATAACTACAGCAACGAAAACCTGACAGACACCCAGCCACATTGGAATTTTTAACTATATGTTAAAGGTTTATATTCTTGCTGCTCTGAAACTTTCTACAGATTTGCAAATAAATGACATTTTAGGTAGAAAAAAATGTTCTAATATCAGTTTCACTTATATGTTTTGAAGATGTACAAGAATTATTCATGTCCTACCTTGTTCAAATAGATTTTAATAGGTTCTCTTCAAAGAACCATTACTATCTTCGTAAAGAAAACAAATCGATTCTACAAAATACATGTCCAGCATTATTTCAAAGTTATAAACTTACATAAGTAAAGTGTTTTGCAAATTTAAAATAAGTTTTTTCCTGCAAACACTTGCTGAGACTTAAATGGTGTATGTCACCTGATTTGGCCTCATCACTAATTGCCTTCTTAATAAACTATATTAATAAAATATATTGACATCTACTTCAATTTGATTGGGAAAAAAATTTAAAGTGATTTTATATAGACACTTTCCTCCTCCAAAATATTTCAGCAATACCAAAGAGGAACAATTTCTTTTATCCCAGCTTTGATTAAGCAATGTAAACTAGCCTTATATTGAAGAAAAAATTTTCTCTGTTGTTTGTTTTTGGCAAGAATTCTATATTAAATATAAATACCATACTCTGGGGTGGATGGACTTCAGCTGAGTATGAAGCATTTTCTTTCTTGGAAATTGTTTTGGGATTCTTTAAGATAAAAGATCTGTATAGAAGTTATTAGTATTGGTTATCTGTCTTGGTTCCTTGATTCCTATACTGACTATTTCCCAAAGGTAATTTTCATTAAACCATACACTGTTACACTGCTAGACCTTCACCTCTTTGTGTTCATTTCAGTCAGTACTCTCAGACTCAGAAATGTATAGGGAAAGAGCAATCTTTCTTTGATTGATTTAGGGAAGCAAGTAGAATATTTTGTGACCTGACTTTTTTTTTCCCTGCAAGTCTTCTCTTTCAAGTCCCTCAATCTGATATAAAGGACATAGTAGTCTCTAATAACACCCTAATCTCTCTTGGTCTAAATCCAAATAATTTCCTTCTACACCCTGCTCGGTTGAGACTTAAATCCCTTATTATTCAATGATCCTATTTTTAAACTCTGCTTGGGAAAGCAGTGGTGACTTTTGATGCTAATCCTATTCAGTCCACTGACTCTATCCCCTTCAGGGAAATGGCCAAGGATTTTTAAGGGGGTAAATATACAGCCAGCTGCCTAACAAGAAAGAGAAGAAAGCTAAGTTAGAATTTTCAAAACTATAGAGGATTATAAAAATGGAGCCTTTATATTAAAAGCTAAGCATATTTATTCTGATGAGGTATCTATTAATTCCATTGGAAATAGCTAGTTAAATCCTTTAGTCACAGTTTTCACTGCCTGGGATTGAAGGATAAGCATTTGGTTTCATATTCAAGGCAATAGCTGGCAAATCCTGTCAGACCCTTCAAATGAAAATTGAACCCGACCATATTTCATGTCAAAGTACAAATAAATATATCAATTAATATGATAATAATCCTTAGGTTGTTCATTTTTGACTTTCTGTTTGGCAGTTAAAAATGGCCAAAAAATAAAACCATGTAGCAGAGGAAGTTCTGGGCTGGGAGACAGGACATCTGACTTCTACATTTGAAATTTCCATGATGGTCAGACAAGTATATAAAGTTTAGATTTTAAACCAATTTTTAATTAAAGAGTTCAGATGAGTGATTATGATGCCATTTTTAGCTTTAAAAGCCTATTAAATTTATCATAAGATAATGCCGTTCTGGACCTAACACAGATAATGTAGTAACAATCCATTTTGATAATACAATCTGCTCACCTCTTGCCATAAGAATAGAAATAATGTTGGTCCTTTATTTTCTCTTTCATGCTGTTGTGCCTTCTGGAACTTCCTGTTTCATATCTGTTTTCATTCTCATTGTTTAAGGGCAAGGTCTTAGTAAAATTTTTTCTAACTTTCCCTCTTCAGGGAGAGAGAAATGTTGCCATTCTGTGCTGCTTCTGAGATTTACACTTAACTTTGCCATAGCACTAATCACACTGTCTTGTAATTGTGTATTGATTTGCAAATTCACCTTCTATATTAGAGTAGGAGCTTTATAAGAGCAGTATTCATGGCTTATTAATAATATTAATATGTGAATCATAAAGTTAAATATATGAATCATTAATAACATTAATATGTGCATCGTAAAGTCCCCAAAAGTATTTGAGATTGCCAGTGTGGAGTTAAGTCTGCATTTTCTGACTTCTGGTGCAGGCTAAAATGCAGCAAACCCACTATAATCCATTTCCCTCTACTGATTGCAACAAAAAGTCTGGATAGAGTAGAAAAAGTAACTCCACAAGGACTCTGAGAAGTAAACAATAGCAGACAGATTGAAAAATCAAAACCTAAGGAATGACTGGAAGGGTAGTCAGGTTGCTCTTGTTGTTTTCTTTCTTTATTACTCGGCTTTTACTAGATGAATTGCAGAATTGCACAGTGAAAAGACAGCAAAATCTCTTGGGAAAAACCCCTCTGTCTGGCCAGAAGGGTAGAAAAGAGGAATTTTTAGATCCCAGGGATGTGAGAGAAATCCTTTTTTGTTTTTTGTTTTAGATTTTTCCTGTCTCCCTGCTCTGAGGCCAGACCCAATCTCAAAGCTGTGCTGCTATCGTGCTGGCAGTGTCATGGGCTCCTAAAACCGTAAAGAGAAACAACCTTTATCATTAGCCATAGACACTGGAAAGACAAAAGTCTAAAGTGTATGCCAGAAATTCCTACTATTTTTTTCTCTCTCTTTTTATTTGACATCTTGCCCCAAAGATAGACTTAGTATTGTGGAATTGTTTGACAGCAGAGGGGCTAAAATTCTGAGAAACTATTTTTCCACCTACAGGATCTGGGAAATTAGGCACCTCAGAACTGGAAATTGTGGAGAAAATATAGACAAAGACAGCACTAGAGAAGCAGATCCCAAATCCTGTGTATAAACAAACACGTGAACCTAGGCTCACTCTCAGGGTCAGCACACATGGAGCAGAGCAAATAAGGCAGAGCAAAATATTTGAGAATTGAACTGTACTGTAAACTACCAACCAGATTGTTCCCAGATGAACTTCAGAGTGGCTCAAGAACAGGCAATACACAAATGGCAGAGCAAAGTCTGAAGGTGTGCTGACGTTGTAGCTAGTGCCCACAGAAGGTGAGATAGAAGTTTCAGTCTTAACCCATGCATGTCAATTACCTTCTAAAACAACAATAACAATGTTACAACAAACATTCTCCATAGGATTTGATCAGGGTCCAGAATTTCATGATGTACAAAATCTCCTGAGTACAATCCAAAATAATAACATACCATAAAGAAGAAGCTGATAAAGAATTAGGAAAAAATCAATTAGATATTAACTTCAAGGTTGCCTTGATGATGGGTTTATCACACAAAGACTCTGTAGAAGCCTTTAATACATACTCCATGAGGTAAAGATGAATACTCTTAAAAGAAATGAAAAGTAGTTTTATAGAAGGTAAATCAGAATAATGGAAAACATTTAAATGAAAATTTAGAAAGTAAATACATGATATCTGACATTTTAAAAATACTAGATGGCCTCAGTAGCAGAATAGAGATGACAGAAGAAAGAATTAGTATACCTGAAGATAGATTAGTAGAAATTATGCAATCTTAAACATAGAAAATAAAAGATTGAAATATAACAAATTGGCCTCTCCAACTCTTATTCAATATCATGCTGGAAGTCCTAGACTGTGCAGCAAAGAAATAAAAGGAAATTAACGCAATGGCAGATGGGCAAGAGGGAATAAAACTGTCTCTCTTTGCAACATAAACATCTATACGGTAATTTTCAAATGGAATCAACACGAAAGTCTCCTATAACTGATAGGTGAGTTTAGCAACATGGCAGTATACAAGGTCGGTTCTAAAAAATCTATTGTGTTTCTGAATAATAACATTGAACATTTGGAAATCAAAATTTAAAAACAGTATCGTTTACAAGAGCACACAAAAAAAGTACTTAGATGCAAACTTTACACGATATGGCCTGGATTGAAATGCTAAAAGCCATAAAACACTGATGAATAAAATCAAAGAAAACAAATAAATGAAGAGATACACTAAGTTTATGATTGGAAGTCTCAGGAATATTATATTTTAACACCCCCAATTTCCCTATATATCAATGTAATCCAAGTCCTATTCCCAGTATACTTTTTCTATTGATATCAAAAAGATTCCAAAATATATATCAGAAAAACAGCGAAAGGATTCACACTGTCTGATTTCGAGATTTACTATTACCTACAGTAACCAGGACTGTGTGGTTTTATCAAAAGAATAGGCATATACATAAATGGAACAGAACGGAGAGTTCATAAATAGACTCAACGGGTTAAGAACAATTCTTGTTTCAGAAAGGTGAAATGGTAACTTAATGGTAAAAGGACAGTCTTTTCAACAAATGTGCTTGGAAAAATTGGACCTCCATGTACAATAAATTGAAGCTCTACCTGTACCTCATGCTTTATGCAAAAATTAACTTAAAATATATCATAGACCTAAATTTACACTTTTAAGGGTAAACATAGGAGAAAATATTTATGACCATGTTGTAAGCAAAATAGTCTTAGATGTCACACAAAAGCATGACTCATTACCCCAAAATTGATAAATTAGAAATTTATCAAATTCATATTTATTTCTATCAAAACAAACAAGTAAATATCAAAAAATTAAGTAACACAAATAGCAATAGCAAAACTGACAACACAAATATGGGTGAAGATGCAGAGCAACTCAAACTTTCATATATTCTTAGTGGGAATGCCAAATAGCACAGCCTCTTTAGGAAGGAGTTCAGTAGTTTCTTATAAAGTTAAACATGTACTGACTATATGACTCAGTAATTTTGACTGTGTATGTAAGCCCTAGAGAAATGATAAGCTCCAAGTGAATGTTTACAATGGCTTTATTCTTAATTGCCCAAAATTGGGTACAACTCAGTCTTTCTTCAACTGGTGAAAAAATAAACACTTCATGGCATATTCATGTGATAAAACACTAGTCAACAATAAAAAGAATAAATTATTATTACATACAACATGTATAAACCACAAATACATTATAAGTAAAATTATGCTAGACTAACTTGACTACAAACCATGTAAGTCCATTTTTATGCCATTCTAGAAAAAGGTAGAACTATAAGAATGCACAGTTCTATGGTTGCTAGGAGTTAGGAGTAGGGAGACTGATCAACTACAATGAAACCACACAAGAAAAAGTCTTGGGTTGATGGTGCTGTTCTGTATTTTTATTATGGTTGTGATTACATAACACTATGTACTTATCAGAATTTATAAAACTACACAAAATCGGTAAATTTTACAGTAGGTAAAATTTTAAAATTGCATCTTCTTAGCAGTACCTGCTCTTTCATAAGTTTTCTAGCTCCATCTTCTTTTCCATTTATTCACTGAAAAAGTAATTATTAGTGGCTACAAGTTGCCATACATTGGAATTAGAGATAAACATTAAAAAACAAGATGAAAATATGTTTGCTTTCATGGAGCTTACTATCCACTCAGAGGAAATAGGAGTTACGAAGGAAAATGTATAATGTCGTCTGATGATACAGGTTAGTAAGGGAAGGGATTAACAGTGTGGTTATATTATTACAGAAGATGGTCAGGGAGGATGTCATTGGCCAGAGAAAACTTCACTGAGAACATAATATTGTAATTAATATTGCATCATCATGTACTCTGTATCAGTCACCTCTTTCTTTTTTTTTTTTTTTTTTTTTTTTTTTTGAGACAGAGTCTCGTTCTGTCGCCAGGCTGGAGTACGCTGGTGCGATCTCAGCTCACTCCAACCTCTGCCTCCCGGGTTCAAGCGATTCTCCTACCTCAGCCTCCTGAGTAGCTGGGATTACAGGCGCCCACCACCACCCCGGCTAATTTTTGTACTTTTAGTAGAGACAGGGATTCACCAAGTTGGCCAGGATGGTCTCGATCTCTTGACCTCGTGATCCGTGTGCTCTTCAGACAACTGAGATACAGGAGAAAAAAAATAAGTGTAAAAATATAAATGTGTGTATATATACATATATATGTATATATATAGCATGATAATAATGTAGAAAAAAATCAATAAATGGTAGAAGATGCAATACCTAATGTTTAAATATAGTACTTTTACTATATTTTTACAAATCAGACTAAAAATAAGTTTGAAATTCATAGCCATACTTTGTGCTAAATGGCCCTGAAAAGTCTCAGATAGTCACATCTCCTGTTATTAGGAAGCAGTGGTGTAGAAAGAAACAAGGTGTTTCAGTGAAATATATGGACACTTTGACTGCTGATATGACATTTACAAGACTAGAAAACAATGTGATATTTTTATATTGTTGCATGATAATCCTGGCGGTTGGCACTAATATTATCAGGCAGTCCTATTAAATACCTATGAATAAGAAAAAGCATAAATTCAAAATTCAAAATAAGAATCAAGTCTTTATTTTGAAGAAGCAAAAGTCTTTCTTAATGTGCTACTGAAAAAACTGTAAATATCAAGATTCAAAGGCATTAGAAACATGAACCTCAACCCGAAGACCAATATAAAAACGTGAATTAATCATTAATTTTTTTAATGGATGCAATTTGATGTTGTCAATTTTAAGAAATTATTTATTTTAGCTATAGATACTTGCTACTATTTTATCATAGTATAGCATAATTCTGTTAAAATAAAGTATGTTAATGAATGTCACTAAATGTATTAAATGTTCATACATCCTATTGACATGTTAAAAATGGTCTTTGCGTTTAAATTTCAGTGTATTAAATCCTTTTGGTTTGAATATTGTAGTATAACAGTAAACTGGTCAAGATAACTCTCTACAAAATATTTGTACTTGTTATTTACAATCTTTTAAACACTATATTCATTAAGAGTATACATATAAATTTATGCTTTTTAAGATTAAAGTATAAAAGGTAATTTACCCTCTTCTCAAAAAACAAAAACTGAGGCTTCTTGTTACATAAAGTGGGCATTGCACTGGGTCCTATATCTTCATTGTTAGGTAACAGGCACTTTGCTATTTAACTGCCTTGAGGATGCTTCTGGCTTTACCATTTCTATTCTGTCTGAACGTTGCCTCATTTTGATTTTCATCTTTTTCTACTGAGATTAAATTTAATCTTTTACTATTAGCACCTATATGTGCTTGAATGGAGGCCCATAAACTCCTGGCTCTTCTATTTCAGATGTATATGTCTCCTTTACTTCGTTTAATTTTAAAACATCATATTTATTTCACTTAGTCATGCATCAACTGGAATATTAAGTTATTTAAAAAGGCAAAATAATCATACAGATCTCATTTTCACCCATTATTTTTTGATCACACAACCCTTTCTTCTTTCAATGCCCATAGCTTTCTTTCCTATAAATTTGAGTCATAACATATATGTGCATTATTAATCTCTGTGTGTTAATATGTTAAGTTCCTAGACAAATATTAAATTATTTAAGAACAGAAGCAATGTCTTATATTTCCTTACACATTACCCCCAAAAACGTGCTAATTAATTTATTTAAAAAAGACATGGCAGCATAATGAACATATCCATATGCACAGATTTCATTTGCCTTAATGCAATAATCATTTATTGAGCACAAATTCTGTTATTCATATTTATATTTATAAATATTTTCTTTATTCATTTTCAGGGATATTATAACCAATTAATGGAAAGAAACATTTAAGACAACACCTTCCTCTATGTTTACATCAGGATGCATTTTTGTAATTGAGTATGTATATTAATTATATTACAACAGACAACAAGTATACCACAAATAATTCAACAAGTTGAATTTTTACATCCCATTACTGTAAACTCACATTCTTAAGAGGATATAAACGTCATGTTATGAACATACACCAATTAAATTTTCCCTACATATATCCAACATCTTTTTAATGTCACTTGCTTTATTACAATCTACACTCACTTGTTATTGTGGCCATTACTTTGCTGCTGCTTAATAAAGGTCTTGTTCTTATTAATTTTTATGATATCCTTCATTGAGAGAATTAATTTTCAAACACACACAAATACACACTTAAGGATTCTGTACTAGTACTGGTACTTGTATGTTTTAACAAACTTGAATCCTTTACCGAAAATATTGTATAGTAATATCAGAAATCTTATAAGTGATAATATAATTTTTACTATACTAACAGAAAATAAAGAATAGTTGTTAGAGACCTGAATTTTGTATACAGAGCTCAGTTTAAATCCCATTTTAATTATTAATTACCTATAACAGTAGGTAAGTCATACTCTGGCTGAGCTCCTTCATCTGTAAAATTAGTGTTTGGAGAGGGAAAAAGATAGATTACTTAAAATGAGTTTGAAGATGACTACCTAATTATTTGTGAGAAAATAAACATGGATACCAAATGCCTTAAACCAAAATAAATCCCTTGTGTTTAAAGATTTAAATCTAAATACAAAACCATAAAGTAACTAAAATTATTTTACTTTGGTTATTATATATGTATATTTTAGAGTTGAGGAAATCCTTTATACCCATGATGAGAACCCAAAAGCTACATAGAAAAGAATGTATTTGATAAATGTGACCACACAACTTGTAAAAAATCCTTTAACAAAATATATACAATTTTAAAGGACAAAAAATAAATTAAATTAAATATACAGAAAATAAAATGAGCAAAAAGCATCTAATGTCCTTAATATGTCAAATGCTCTTAAAATCAGTGATCAAAATTTTAAACTATAAAAAATGAGCACAATATTGATAGCAGTGAGATAAAGACATCAAGAAGTGAAAGAAATCTATTAAAATATATTTAAGTATATTTTAAACATGAATAAGATGTTTAAAAATGCTTCTCTGTCTTTTAAATATAAATCATTTGGCAAAACTTTTGCCCACTAAAAGCATCTGGAAATTGGAGATAAAATTATTTTAGAATCATAATTTAATTCATAAAGAAGAGTAAGAGGAGGAGGAGGAGGAGGAGGAAATAAGAAAGAGAAAGGAAACACAAAAGTAGAATGGTAAGAATGTAAGCAAATACTCTCATTACCCAGGGAAGCATATATTGCCCTAGGGAAGCTAAAGGATTAGTTTTGACTTTATACAGGTAGATGAAAGGGCCATAAATCTGTAAAGGATGAGAAGTAGAAATGTGACCAACCCTTGAAGAGCTTACAAGTACGTAGATGGCTTGATGAGAAAAAGCAAAAACAACAATAACAATACCCACAGGGGGAGGGAAATACCAAAGAACCTTGTATCTTTTTGTTGAGAATTTGACGTGTAGCTGTGCCAGTGACACCCGCAGACAGGGCATGAAACTTTACAATAACTTTCAAGGTCTGGAAATCCTCAAGTTAAGAAATCAATGTAAAATTTTGTTCCAGCAGGTGTGATGGTTAATTTTATGATTCATCTTTGCTAAGTCATGAAATCAAGATATTTGGTCAAACTTCACAATGTGTCTGTAAAGGTATTTTTTTAATGGAATTAATATGTAAAATAGTAGACTTTGAGTAAAGTCAGTTGCCCTCCATAATGTCGATAGGTCTCACCTAATTAGCTGAAGGCCTTAAGAAAAAGCCCAATCTGCCTCAAAGAAGAGGGAATTCTCCCTAGAGACTGCTTTGGACTTGAACTGCTACTCTTCCTCCTTGGCCTGTGCTCCAGCCTGCTAGCCTGGTGCTTTTAAATATGAATAACATCAGTAATATGGTAATATACCCTATGTAATATTATAGTAATCTGAAATCGAACATAAAATAAGTATATTTAATATTATTACAGTCATAAAAAACATACTTGAATGCTTAAGAGGAAGAAAAACTACCAGGAAGATTTGAGAAAGACACAAATAGAACAATTACAAATAAAAATATATAGACAGTGAAATTAAAAAAAAACAAAATTAGATTTATGTTTGTAATACGTAAATTATAAATAGTCCAAAGATAATTGGATAACTGAGTCACTGCACTAATTAGCTAGAATGCAACAGAGAGAGACAGAAAATATCACAGAATAGTGAAAAGACATAAAGACATTAGGACTAAAATGAGATAATCTAACAAAACACTTAATTTCTTAAGGAAAGTATGAAAAAGAGGCCAAATGCGAAGATAACACAATAGCACACACATTTCTTATTACATCATGTATTCTTTGTCACACCACAGTGAAACTACATAATAATAAAACATACAAAATGCTATTGAAGCCACTGGAGAAAAAAACCACTTATTTGAAAAAAAAATCACACTTAGATTCAAACTTGAACCTCAATCACAGCATTAAAAGATGACCAAAAAAATCTTCAACTTACTAAGTGAAAAGATATATAAATCTAGATGTCTATACTTTGAGAAACCCACTAAAAACTGAGGTTGAAATGGAATTTCAAATGGTGACTGCATAATAGTTACTGTTTCTGGACCCAGGCCTGCTATTCAACAGGTATACCAGAAAAATTGTATTAGCTGTTAGAATACTGAAATAATTCCATATCAGTTGGAAATCTGCTGATGCACCAAATCTTGTGATGGCCTCTATCTGAATAACAGAATGAGACAGGAGAAAAAAATTAATTATATAAATTGTCAAACATTTAGTTAAAAATGAATCCAAAACTGACTGAATACAGCAGGAATATTATAACAAAAAATATTTCAATTACGAAACGAAGATGGAATTAAAACACTGGTAAAAAGTAACATGTAAGATAGAAGAAAATTTACTTTAACATCATTATAGTATCCTTAAATTTTTTAGTTAATTTTAGAGATTTTTAGTTTATTCTTTGCTAAATCAAGTATGCCAGTTAAAAAGAAATAAAAATTGACCACCAAAACCCACGTCTCCATAAATGGCAAAGAGTAATCAAACAGACCTAATTATCTGACTCCAGAAAAATTAAGAAATCAATAACAATAATAGTGATAATGTTAAATCATTCTATGGGAACTTACCTTAAAATGTACGTTAAAAATATTCAGAACTCAACCATGAAATCTCTACACATCAATGCCTGTAAAATGCAAATAAAGAATACATAGAAAGCCATTGTGGGAATGGTCCAGAAATAATATTGGCCTAAAACCAAATGGTTTATAAATGTAAATAAAATAGGGCTTGTAAAAAGCAAGTACAAATCATGTTGGAAATAGCATAAGTCAATGATTTTTTGGACAAAATATAATTATTCACAACTTACTTAAAAAGCTATAGGAAAATCTCAGCAGCCCTGTGCCATTAAGAAACTCAAGTCATTAGTTACAATTCTTCATCCTTTCTTACCCATCTTCTACAATAAATATTTCAAAAATATCTAAATCCAGCCATTTTACAAGGAAGTATCTGAAAGTCTTTTAGAAAAAGATATTTGTCTTATTCAAACTTAGACATTAGAAAACAAAAGGAAATATACCCAACTAATTCTTGCTTTGATATAAAAACTAGATAAGGACATTTTAAGAAAAATTGTAGGTAAGTTTCAAATAAAAATACAAGTGTAAAAGTTTTGTAAGAATATAATTTAAATGAATAAAATATTAGCAAATCATCACTAAGTCAAAATTATTTGAGGAATACATGATTTTATATTTAAAATATTTAAGAGACAAAGAGTACTATCAACTCATTAGAGAAGGACATCTCTTTCTATTTTATAGTAGTCAATGTCTCTTCTTGATTAAAGAAAAATATTTTATACAAGTAATTGTGGTAGGCTAAATAATGGTTCTAAAGATATTTGCATTGTAATTTCTGGAATCTATGAATTATACCTTTTATGGAAGACAGAACTTCTCAGAAGTGATTGAATCACACATTTCAAGATGGGGAGATTATCTAGATCATCAAGTGGGTCTTAAATGTAAACAGAAGTATCCTTATAAGAGGGAAGCAGAGGGCTTTATTACCATAAAAGAGAAGGTGATATGATGATGAAAGTAGCAAATGGAATGTTGTGTTTTGGCGATGGAGGAAGAGGCCACAAGCCAAAGTAAACAGGCAGCCACAAAAAGCTAAAAGAAAGGCAAGGAAATGGATTTTCCTACCAGAGCTTCCAAGAGAAACCAGCCTGCCATTACTTTGACTGTAGATGGTAAAACTGATTTAGAACTTCTATTTTTGGGGCTTTAAGACAATCAATGTGCATTCTTTAAAAGCCTGAAATTTGTGGTATTCTGTTACCACATCAATAAGTAACTAACACAGAAATATGTGGGTGCTTTGTATGTAATCTTGTGAACATTACAGGTCAGATAACAAAGGATGAACTGATCAGTGAGCATTCTAGGACAGGTGAAGATACCTTCAGATCTTCATCATCTCCAGATACCTCTTCATTTTGTTTATAAAAATTATGGGAGATGTACACTTATCAATAATAAAGGTTTATTACAAGCATATAAAACTTTTTAGATGAAAATAAAACAACATTTATGTCCTTGGGTAAGAAAAAATAAAAAAATAGCTTTATAAAGGAAAAGAGAAAATTCTGAAAAATGATCATTTTGCATCAAAAGTGCTATCACCAAAATAGACTATTTCTAGGTAGAGGAATAGTATCCAATACACACAAACATATACACACACGTATATACATATATTTACTATATGTGATATATTTTCAGTTAGTAAGGAAGAGGCAATGATGTGATGATGTGGGGAAAAAAGAAATATAAACAGGCCCCTAAAAAAACCCAGTGTATCCAAATAACCAATAAAATTTGAAAGATCCTCAATCAGATAGTGAATTAAGCAAATGTGTAATAAAACAATAATAATTATGTGCAATTTAGTCTCACTAGTTTGGCACAATTTGTGTAAAAAGAGTTGGTGAAGATGTAGACGCACTCAAATTCTGGAAGGATATAAATTAATACAAAAACTTTAAAGAAGAATGAGCAATACTAGTATAATTACTCTATGGCCGGGCAATTGTTTTTTGGCTATCTCATTTGTAAGTGAAAAAGTAAGAAACAACCTAAATAGAACTACCTAACTGCTCCTTAGTATGGAAATGAATAAACCATTCTAATGAGAATAAGTATTGTAATAGTACCAAAAGTTTCATATGAATGAACTATATCAAAAAGTATTAACATGACTAGGTTTCAAAAACCTAATGTTAAGTCAAAAACATTTTCAAAAGCAAATATACATTATGATTACATTTATAATTTTTTGTAGAATATACAAAATATTGTTACATATGTTTTGGTAAAAGTAAAACATGAGTGTGAATACATACCCCTATTAAATCATTCAATATTCTTTTGACATTTATTTATTGAGTACCTAAAATATGCCGTTTTCATCCTAGGGACTGGGGATTCAAAGTGAACATGAGTCACTGCCATAATGTTGCTTACATACTAATGGAGAATGAAGACGAAAAGATAACTGTAAGAAATATAATACGTTAAACAGAAAAAAATTCTTCAGGATAATGTTTATCTGAAGTGGGGAAAAGAAAGGAGAAAATATAGGGTCAGAATTAAACTGTATATGGAAATTCTATTTTCCAAAGGACATAAATAGAAAAAAAAAAAAAAAAAAACTAGAGACCTGAGACAGCAATGGTCAACTATTAAAATCATTTCAAACTTATCAGTACCTACACGTATTTTATATAATTTTTTGATATATTTAAAATGTTTCATAGTTTTAAAAATGTAAAACAAAAAGTGGTGCTGAAACTCTTTAGAATAATAAATATATACTTAAATGAATTATCATTTTTTTAAATATCTAGTGTTGATGAGAATGTGGAAGAGAATAAATGGTTATGCTTTTCGGCTACTCATTTACTAAAAACTATGAAATAGTACATACTCTGACTAAGCAATCCTTCCTCAAGTAATCTGCATTAGAGAAATAATACAAGGACAAATAAACTTCTGTGAATAAGGATGTTCACTTTTGCATTACCCATAATAGCAAAAACTGGAAATAACCTAAATCAAAAAGTGATTATTTAAATAAATTACGCCTCACAAAAACAATAGCATATTATGTCACTGTAGAATGAGATAGATCTTTAAGTACCAGCATGGAAGTCTGCCTGTGATTTATTGCTGAGTGAAAAAAAGTAAGTACCAGAACCATATGAATAGTGAGAAGCAATATTTTGCTTAAAAAATCTACCTATTTATGTATTCATAGAAAATGTCTAGAAGGATAGACACAAAACTATTTATAGTGGCTACCTCTGAAACCTGGAATTAGAATGGGTTTTAATGAGAATTTGTTTATTCTACCTTTATACCCCTTTATAGTGTTGAATTTCACTACTAATATTATTTAAAGAATAATGATATTAGAATGAGCAGTACCAGGTGAATAAGTTATACATGTGGGAAATTGATCACTGACCTTTCACTTTCTACTCCTGTTATTACTCATCATACTAATTTAGCAAAACTCCACCTCTAGTTAAGTACAACTCACTGCTTATTCTATGTCTGTATCAATACAGCTGAATATGCTTGGAGAAAAATAGCCAACCATGGTGCTGGGCACACTTTAAATTCATAATCACTAAACTTCCAGTGTGCCCTTTAGTGGTGCTAAACAATCAAACTGCTTTTTCCTAAATCCAATTAATACCCCATGCTCTTCAGAAAGCTATTGTTTTTCTATTTCTCTCCAGACTTCTAGCTCTGTCTCCCGAGTTATCACTCCCAGTAACCTTCTTTCCTATTTCACTGAGCAGGAAAAGAGCAATCAGGAAAGAATTTTCACCAGCTTCAACCAATCTACCTGCTCCATGCTCCTTCCCTTCTGTTATTATGCATGAATTATGTTCTGAGATCAATCCTTCCCATATGCATTTCACCCTGTTCTTTTTCATCCACAAAAAGGCATGACTTTAGTAATTCTTTTCTCATTCTGGTACATCATTATTAATTAATCTCTACTGAATTACTTCCAACAGCATATCAATTATCTGTAATTCTCCCTATTTAAAAAAATAAAATTAAAATACAAACTTCTTGGCTCCATATGTCTTTCTGACAATACTCCATTTCCCTGCTCTATTTTTAAAGCAAAAACTTTCAACGTTTAGTTCCCTTTATTGGTTCTCTAATTTTCTTTCTTCCATTTTCTCTGGAATTCATTGTGTTCAGCCTGTTGTCTTTACCACTTCATTTAAGATTATTCTTATGAAAGCTACCAGTCACCGGTTCTCAATTCTCCTATGACTTGGCCTATCTTAACATACTCTTGACTTTGCTTCCAGATCACTCTTATAGTTCTTTCCTACCTTCCTGGTTATTTCGTTTTCTTCTTGAGCACTTCTTTATTCTCTTGTCTTGCCATTGGAGGGCCTTAAGGATTAATCCTTTCTCCTCTTTAATTCTCTGTCTTCACTCGCTTGGTAATTTTATTCAGTCTCATTGCCTTAAGACCTACTCCATGCTGACAACCCCCGTACATGTATCACTACTTCAGACTTCTCTTCTGAACTCTATGTTGAGTTCCAGTTATCAATTCAATATTTCCATTCAGAAGTCTCATAGTCATCTCCCATGGTCCTTCCACCTTCTCCAGTCTTTGTTTTTGGTGTGTCTGTTTATTTTTTATAAACGGAAACTAGATCTTTTTAAGTGATTAAGCTAAAATATTTTTGCCATACCCACAGCCTGTTGTCAGAAAATACTATTGTCTCTATTTTCAAACATGCTCAGAAACTGACCATTTGCATTGTCTCTACCATGAACACCCTGGTTCCCACCATTGTTACTGCTAATCTGGATTACTGATATCGATTCCAACTTGTCTTTCTAGTCCTCTTTTCTCCCCTACTGCCTAGTCCCAACAATGTTCAAACTGTTTTCTTATATAAGTCAGATAACGTTATTTCTCTGCCCAAAACCCTCCAATGGCTTCCCATCTCACTTACAGTAAAAGCCAAGTTTTTTTTTTCAATACCCTACAGGGCCCTACATGATCTATTTTCCTTTTTATTACTTTTCTGACCTCTTCCCCAACTACTCCTCCCCTTACTCAGTTCATACCTGCTGCTTATTGAGAACACTAGACAAATTTCCTCCTGGGTGACTTTGTCCTTTCTTATCTTCTGTCTGAAATATTCTTCCACTACAGAGACACATAAATGCTTGTTTTCTTATCTATTCCAGCACTTTGCTCAAATTCTACCTTCTAATTGACAACTTCCCCACCAATCTTACTTAACATTGTAACCCTACCCCCTACCCTGGTACTTCCTTGCCCTCTTCTCTGCTTTATCTTTTTCCAAAGCACTTGTCAATATTAGAAATATTAGAGTTATTGGTTTATTCCTTATTGACTATAGTATGCAAAAAAACCCCACTTCATGATATAATGACTTGATTTTATTTCCCATTCTATGCTCAGCATTTAGGACATGTTTGCAAATAGTAGATTTTTAATAAATACTTCTTGAATAATGGATGAATTGATCCAGTTATAGCAGATCCGAGACAAATATTTTCAAGTCATTAAAGAGCAAACAAAGGTAATTAACTATTTTTTTAGACAACCAACCTAAAGAAAAATATAAACCCAATCACAGATACTTGTATATGTAATAAAATAATCTTAGTTATTAAAAGATTCTATTTTCGGCCGGGCGCGGTGGCTCACGCCTGTAATCCCAGCACTTTGGGAGGCCGAGGCGGGCGGATCACGAGGTCAGGAGATCGAGACCATCCTGGCTAACACGGTGAAACCCCGTCTCTACTAAAAATACAAAAAATTAGCCGGGCGAGGTGGTGGGCGCCTGTAGTCCCAGCTACTTGGGAGGCTGAGGCAGGAGAATGGCGTGAACCCCAGGAGGCGGAGCCTGCAGTGAGCCGAGATTGCGCCACTGCACTCCAGCCTGGGCGACAGCGAGACTCCGTCTCAAAAAAAAAAAAAAAAAAAAAAAAAAGATTCTATTTTCTTATTAATATAAATAGTTTAAAGCATTAATTTTCTCAATCAATGATAAGCAAACTTATTTTATCGTTAGGACTTCGTGTTCTGCTGAGGATCTAATATTTATTTTTAGGTCATTTAATGATCGTTATTAATTTATACAATGACATAAAACCAGATATATTACAAATATATTATTTAATTTTATGTTGGTCCTTGGTATGAGCATAAAAACTCTTTATACGAACATTGAGAAAATCTCCCACCTATGCAGTAAATATCCATATTAGCATCAGATGGTAATATTATGTTAAAAAAATAGGAATTATTATTTTTTTTTTAGTGGTCTTGATATGTGATCCTGTAGAAAAATAAAGTGGTAGCTTGGTCAAAACATTGTAAAGCTCTGCAGGATATAGACTCCTATCCAAAAGACACAAAACAAATTATTATAATATGAGAATAAAGATATTCAGTATTAATCTATTTAATGGGGTTTAATTCACAATTTCCTCAAATCATTTGAACCTGGAACTTTTTTACTTTCCTAAAGCAAATTGATATACCATGGACTTAAAATTCTATTGAACATACATAAATATGTTATTGATTTGTTTGGTACATTGAGAATTTTGTGTTCAATATAAAATTCAAGAAATAGATGTATGAGAAAATTATTTTAGAGGAGAATGTGTCATCAATATCGTATTTAGGGAATCATAAATTTTGTAACATTTAGCATCTTATCATGGAGACTGTGAATTTGTCAATATGTTATTTAATAATGATATGGACAGGAAACAGGGAAATACTGGGTAGAAGAGGGCACTTCCCTGGCAGAGGCCCCACCCTCAAGCCTGGAAACTCAGGCCTGAAATGCCTAAATGGAAACAGACATTCCTGTTTTCTTGCCCCAAAGTTGCCTTTTGGCCCGCCACGCCCCCTTATCTTGTACCCATATAAACCCCAGACCCTGGGCTCCTGCGCCTGCCCATCTGTGTGCTCCCCATCCCATAAGGGTTTTGAGCACACACAGTGGCCTAAGAGAGGAGCCATACCGCTGTCGCACGACCTGCAAGTGGGGTCAGGGAACTCTTGCTTTCAGTAACATATATAACAGTTTCTGAGTAACTTTTTACAAGGAAAAGAAAGTTATATCATTTCTGAGTGGATGTGCATCAAGTCAAATTTGTGCTCACATATATGTGCAGACAAAGAATATATCAATATTTAGCAAGAGAAGTCTGTCTAGAAGCTGGTACTGAATAGTTTTCTAGACTTCTTTTTTCACAAGCAAATAAGCTATATATAATCAAACTTAATAAATTTATTAATTTTACTGAGGGTAGAGTTGATAACCAATTTTTTAAGTACTCAGCAAGAATCAGAAATTTGAAAAAGGAGCTACTCAAATCTTGGCTAAAAAACTGCGTTTAGCCAGGCGCGGTGGCTCACCCCTGTAATCCCAGCACTTTGGGAGGCTGAGGCAGGTGGATCACCTGTGGTCGGGAGTTTGCTGAGGCAGGTGGATCACCTGTGGTCGGGAGTTTGAGACCAGCCTGACCAACATGGAGAAACCCCATCTCTACTCAAAATACAAAAATCAGCCGGGCGTGGTGGTGCATGTCTCAGGAGGCTGAGGCAGGAGAATCGCTTGAACCCAGGAGGCGGAGGTTGCAGTGAGCCCAGATATGGCCACTGCACTCCAGCCTGGGCAACAAGAATGAAACTCCACCTCAAAAAAACAAAAACAAAAACAAAAACAAACAAACAAACAAAACTCTGTTTAACGTGGAAAAAAAGTTCTCCCAGTCATATATATTCAAGTGAATATTGTTTTCTCAAAATAGTACCCCAGGCTGACCATAGACTCGTTCAAATTTCACTGCTCTGCTGATCATGCTCAGTAGTGAAGAGTTTTCATTTTTTGAAAATAATTTGGTAGTAAAAGTTTGGAGATTACAAACAATGGAATTTACTTTGTCTCAGAACTCTAAGCCATTTTAAAGGCAATTCCCCCCAAAAGGATGTAAAAATGTGGCTTGAATAACAGTATTTTAACAGTGCTACTCTCCCACAGTGAGTAAGCTAACACCTACTTGGATATTTAAATTATGTTGTAGCCCTCAATCAAACATATCATGAGTTTGGAATTATGTTTCTTGCATATATGTACAACCTCTATCTACATTCACAGGCATTTCTCTTCCTAAAACTAAAAGATGATGTTGTAAACCTCCAAGGACTTTAAATGATTCCTTGTTACCACTCAGATATCATAGAAAGAGTCTAGTGCAGCGTGCAGCAGAATTTCCCAAGCAGGGGCATCTGCAAACTAAATCACAGGGAATTCAAGACTTCTCTATCATATTTTATAAATATTTTGTTTTCACTTTGATATAATCTACAAGATTTAATATATCTGGATCTTCTGAATGATTGCTCATACAGCCAAAAGCCAACTGACAAAGAAGTTCATTGCTTGAGTTTGTTAAAATCACACTGACACCTTATTGAACTATTATAACTTGCAGATTAACCAATAAAAGAAAAGTGGTGACTCCATATAGAAAAAAATCCATTCTTGCCTAGAAAGAACAAATAATAACACTACGTGGTTTACTAGCAACCATGTAGTAGTTTAAATCAGTATGTGACAGATGTTGAGCTAAAAAGAACATGCTCAAAGAAGCCAAGTTTTTATGCATGCTTCAAGCATTGGTTACGTTTAAGCAAAACATATTCATCATATCAAATGTATGTTGATTATAGGCATGTAAGCGTTTTATACAAATGTACACTTGTGTGGATCCTATAAACATATAAGGGCTGTAAGCTTGAGAGATGTTCAACTAGGTTTATGCTTGCACATATTTAATAGTGTATATAAAATTAATCAGAAATAAAAATAATTTGTCCAAGTAGGGAACTCCTGAGAATATTTTTCTTTTATTTATTTATTTAAAAACTTGTACACATTTATAGGGTACATGAGAAATTTTGTTACATGTATGTGATGCTTTTTTCTGTTAAAATGGATCTCTATATTACCTTAATTAAGGAACTATGTCATGTACTATTAACAGAGCTGTCCAATGAGAAATCACTAACACCATGTCTAAAAGGCACTGAAATATGGCTAGGCAGAATCTAGATGTGCTATAAATAGAAATTACAATCAGGTTTCAAAGACTGAATTCAAAAACAGTGCAATTTGTTTCATTAATAATTTGTGTATTGACTATGTTGAAATGATAACATTTTGGGAATATTGGGTGAATAAAATATATTCTTAAAATTAATTTACTAGTAATTTTTACCTTTTAAGTGTGGCTTCTAGAAAACATATACCTGTGTGGTTTGCATTACATTTCAATTGGGCAGCATTGCTTACAGTTATCTCCAGCCTCTGTGTCAAATGTACACCTTACTCCAGTTACAGCAAACTTTAGGTCATCTTGAACATACCATTGTGTTTTATTTTCATTCCTCTGTGTTTTTGCACTGGCCCTCATATCTTCTGTTTTTCAAGAAGCCCTGCTAATTCTTCATTACCTAACTCAAAAGCTAATATCTTAATGAAAACTCTGATTTGTTCCAAGGTAGAAATTTTCAGAGCTCCTCTGACCCTTATGCATTTCTATAATTCAGCACCTGTCACAACTGTCACTCTTTCTACATGCTTCTTCCCTGTCGAGATGTTGAAGATAAGGTATTGTTTTCATTAGCTTTTCATTCACAGGCTTTAGCACACAGCAAATGTTTGGTAGACATTTGTTGAATGAATTATTAATTATTACTTTAAATCAACAAATATTTACAGCTGAAAGTGTATACTTTATATTGATGTATAACTCTGATGTCTACTGGGTTATCTTTGCCCTTCAGATCTCTGAAAGGTAGGCTAAATCTGAAAAAGTTTACAACCCTCTTTATTAGAGATATGAATTCTCATGTTGCCTAGATTTTTGATGTTCTGCTTTGTATTATCCCACTTAACACTGCCTCTCTTTTCTATGAATGCTATTTCTATTCCTCATTTTGTCTATACATGGAATTTACTCAATTTCCTAAATTTCAAAAAAAAAAAAAAAAACCACACACACATACAAAATCACACAAAGCACTTGTGTTTGCCATACATCTTCTCTGGGTCTTAGATCAATGAAATGAGTTTAGAATACAAAAATAAAACAGCTTTAAAAGAAAAATCAGAAATAACCACTTAAACATCTTTTTAGGTATTCCAACACTGGAATATATATATATATATATATTTAAATTTTTCCCCACATAGAGTCCCAATCGTGTATCTTTTCTTTTTTGCTCCTCATATCCCTTCTCTCTAAAACTATTTTCTCCTTCCTTTCACTCTTAAACATCCAGGTATTTTCTTTGACTTTTTTAGACATTTATTTTTAATTCCTGACCTTACTTTCAAGCTCAGCTCAGATGTGTCATAACTATCAAGAGAATGCAAAGAATAGAAAGATATTTTATGTATCTCTAATCATCATTTACTGGATGCACATACTCCTGTTTCAGAATAGGAAGTTTTGTACTCTACAACACATAGATGGTTAATATTATTCTTTTGTTGTTGTTGAATTTAAAACATTGTAATGAATTCAGCATTTGTAAAAACAATTGCCTAGAAAGAATACTGTAAATTTTTATATTCTTTTCCTGGATTCTAAAACTAATTGCTATATTCAATTTAATGTTTTATGGGATAAATGTGAACTGTCCCAGATTTAGATTTTCTACCAGTCTGCAAAGTATTTAAAGTTTTTGCCAACTGGCAAATATACTACTAAATAGTAAGCAAATTTTGGTAAGTGAATCGGTAACAGGGTAAAATAGTAGCTATTTTCATAAAGTAATTGGCATAACAAATTCTAGAACCTCAACACATAAATAAGTTTTCAGGTTCAACATAAAATAATCAAGAGTTTAAAAGAACAAATAAATACTTTGATTACCTCCACTTAGTGTTAACTATATATTTAGAACAGATAAATATAACATTTATTTAGAGGAAATTAAACATCTGTTATTCTATTGCAAAGTAATTGCTCTCAAGAAAAATATATGTGTGTATATATATTTAAAGCAATTTTTAATTTTACTCCATTCTGTGGAGCATCAGAATTAACTCAATTTTATTTTTATTATTTATTTTTGAGATACAGGGTCTCACTCTGTCACCCTGGATGGAGTGCAGTGGCAGGAACATGGCTCACTGAAGCCTCAACTTCCTTAGCTAAAGTAATCCTCCCACTTCAGCCTCCCAAGTAGCTGGGACTACAAGCACACACCACCATACCTGGCTAATTTTTTAAATATTCTGTAGAGAAATGGTCTTGCTCTGTGGCCCAAACTAGTCTCAAACTCCTAGGTTCAAGAAACCATCCTGCCTCAGCCTCCCAAAGTTCTGAAATTACAGGCATGAGCCACTGCACCTGGTCTAATCCAATTTTATTTTAAAGTGTGTGATTCACTAGTGCTATCCAACAGTAATGTGGGGCTTCACTAAGTCAAGAGCAGTAGCCAAGACGCTTCAAAGGGAAAAAAAGTATTTATGATATATTTAGAGGATAGAGTCAACATAGCATTAAAGTGAACTGGATGTGGAACTTGAAGGATGACTCATCAAAAGATGAGTCTCACCTTTTGAGGTGCATACAAATAAAAGATACATTTACAGATATGAAAGGCAGGAAACATTATCTCTATTTTACATGAAAATTAGAAAGTGAAGTCATGTGTTTTGAGACATGAAGGATCTGGTGGAACAGGGTGTCTTAGTCAGCTCAGTCTGCTATAACAAAATATCGTAGCCTGGGTGGCTGAAACAACAGAAATTTGTATCTCACAGTTCTGGAGGGTTGGAAGTGCAAGATCAAGGTGTTAGCCAGTTTGGTTCCTATGAGAACTATCTTCCTGCCTTGCCAATGGCTGCCTTTTTACTATGTCCTTACATGGCAGAGATACAGAAAGAGCTCTGATCTCTTACTTTTCTTATAAGGACACTGATCCATGGGGGCGCCCATATAATGGCTTCCTCTAAACTGAATTACCACTCAAAGTGTCCACTTCTAATGTTATCACATTGGGGATTAGGGCTTCAACACATACATTTTTGGGGGAAGCAAGTATTCAGTCCATAACACGGAGTAAACATTTAGAACAGCAATTGTTAGGAATTTTGGAGAAAGCTCAGCCTAGATAATTTTGGAATGACCACAAAATGGTGCTAAGTATCCACTTGAGGTTGCAGGCCATAGTTCCTCAGTGGCAACAATAAGCACATTCTTGAGGTCTTTTCCAGAAGTGTTCATGGGACAAAGATATTTTAGCTGAATAGATTTTTAGAATAGGTATGACAAAACGAGTAAGTGGAAAGTAATTGAGAGTTGAAAATGATAGGACTTGAAAAATGCATACTGTTTTAATATCAATATTTATTTATTTACCCTGATAGAAAATACAAGTTTTCTGGATTAGAAAAATTCCAATTATTTACTCGTGTAACAATCTTAGCTCTGATATCCCATGCCCAAGTTCCTCAAGGGACACACAGTGAGGATCAGACAGTACCTTGTATACATGGTTTGTACAAAATTATCTTCTGACCTAAGCATAGAACTTGAGTTAATGTTTGTTAAGCAGTTATTTGCAATCTTATATTAATTTCCTCAACATTCCAATTCATTTGTAAGCAAGTACTCAGAAGAGATAAAAGAATGGTAGACATTCGTTTTGAAGACACCGTAGAAAGCATCTCCACACGCAGCAGATCTGTGGCTGTGGGCAATGAGGAGGGCTCTGAGAGGACGCTGGGGTCCGGATTAGGAGGAGCACGGAGACCTCTCTCAGGTCGGGTTTGTCTCACAGCCTTGGACAGATATTTAACTAAAAATCAAAGAAACTGGAGAAACCGCTACTATTTTACTATTTTTCCTCCTTCCTTTCTCCTTGAGCTTCACTTGCTCTTTCTTTTCCCTTATTTTTTGCTTCACCCCCCTTTTTTTTTTTCTTCTGAGATGGAGTCTCGCTCTGTCCCCAGGCTGGAGTGCAGTGGTGCGATCTCAGCTCACTGCAAGCTCCGCCTCCCGGGTTCACGCCATTCTCCTGCCTCAGCCTCCCGAGTAGCTGGGACTTCAAGCACCCGCCACTGCGCCAGGCTAATTTTTTGTATTTTTTTTTTTTTTTTTTGAGACGGAGTCTCGCTGTGTCTCCCAGGTTGGAGTGCGGTGGCGCAATCTCGGCTCACTGCAAGCTCCGCCTCCCGGGTTCACGCCATTCTCCTGCCTCAGCCTCCCAAGTAGCTGGGACTACAGGCGCCCGCCAACACGCCCGGCTAATTTTTTGTATTTTTAGTAGAAACGGGGTTTCACCGTGTTAGCCAAGATGGTCTCGATCTCCTGACCTCGTGATCCGCCCGCCTCGGCCTCCCAAAGTGCTGGGATTACAGGCGTGAGCCACCGCGCCCGGCCAATTTTTTGTATTTTTAGTAGAGACGGGGTTTCACCATATTGGCCAGGATGGTCTCGATCTGCGGACCTTGTGATCCGCCTGCCTCGGCCTCCCAAAGTGCTGAAATTACAGGCGTGAACCACCGCGCCCGGCCTCCTCCTTTTTTTTTTTCTTTTCTTTTTTTTTTTTTAACTTTTCTCATTTTCTTCCTTCTCTTTTCCAGAACATTGCTGACCACCTCCCATAAAAAAGGGAGAGTTGTGTTTGACCTTTTCAGCCTGTTCTGGTCCAAGGAGTAATATGCTTCTCAGAGGTTCTCTACATGCTCTATTTAAAAATCTATATTTCCAGTAACTGCTGATTGGCCTTAATTCATGTGACCCTATGCTGAGATATTGGTCAGTAGGTGGAAGAAGACTGAAGTGTTATGACGTGGTTCCTAATTTATTACTGAGTCCCAGTTTAAGTGAATGATAGTGCAAGTGGCAGTGTTGGAACCTTAATAATTAATTCTGTAAGGCGAATTCCTCTAGATTACTCATCTGTATTAATTCTTCTTTTGGCAATTGAGTTTCTGATACTAATATACAACCTTGAATCACATTTCTTTTCATTGAGATCCTTACCCCTACTTTAATCCATATTGCAGAACAGGCAGCTGTGTATTTATTCAGTCTACTCAGAACATGACTCATCTAAACAATGCTGCAATGATCATTGAAATGGGAAATAAAACAAAATGTACATTGGCATGCAATAAAATATCCAATACTCTTCCCCAAAAATCTTGTTGAAAACTTAAATGTTTAAGGTTTTTTTTGTCTTTAAGTAAAAGTTTTTTTCTTTCTTTCTTTTTTTTTTTAATGTTTACTTGAGAAAAAGAGAAAAAGACCCCAAAATGAATGGACTTAAAACAGTAAAACTCATCCAACTTAGGGTTTTAAGTTTGGATTATTAAATTTTGGTATATGTTTCATTTGATTTTTTTAGTACTTCCTATTTAATCAAGTAACAAGATGTCCTCAAATTTTCATTGTAAAAACAGGGCATATGAAATTTGAAGAAAAAATGAGTTTCTGAAACTATTTTAATTTTTTTTTTTTTTTGGTGTCATTTTAGTTCAAGTTTTGGGCAGAGATTCAGGCCAGTTCTTATTTTATCCAAACTAGTGCATCCCTAATCATAATGCTAGCAACCAGCTGTGTTGATTCACTTGCATTTGGTACATGTTTTATTGGGTTGCAGAGAAAAAGAACTTAATTTTATTATGTGCTCAAACAAGGGTACTTTTTAAGTCAAAAACAACACAGGGCCATCTTTTATTTTTGCCACACTTCTTATGACAGTAATTAATAATCACATTATTTGCATCTTTTACGTTAGTCCATAACTAATTTGAAATAAACATTTTTCCTTACTAGAATATAAAATGTCTTTAATCTGTTTTATTATTTAATAATTTAAAATATCAAATCAACAGCCTCTTCCTTAAGTTATTGGTTAGAAGAATATGTTGAAAGATGCCCAAAATGACATTATATCCTATTATAAAGTCATCTGTCCTGTTATTTTTATTTATGTGCGTTCAAGAAAAGATAATGAAAATGTGGAAATTGACGACATAAGAGTTCACATATATAAACACACACACATGCAGGTACACACACACCATTCAGCATTAGTTAAGTATCAATTTGTTTCCACATTATTGAAAAGAGACATCACTTTCAAATTGACTTTATACATAAATTCAGCTGACTTTGATTCATTTATAAATAAAATGTAAAGTAGAGTCAGCTAAATAACTGGCAGTATCTCAGAATATTTTACCTCACCATGTTATTTTAAGATACAATTTTAAATATGTGTGACTATGGACAAATTACCTGCTCAATTAGGTGCCCCATGCACACATCATATTTGAGACTAACTCCAATTAAATTCTAATTAAATGCAATAAAATTATATTGTGTTCTTCAGATACCCCAAAATTGCAAATTAGGTAAACTGCTTCTAAAAATAAATGCAAATATGTATATAGGTGAGGGTTTCCATGATATAATCTAAATAAACTGGAAAGCCTATTAAGTTAGAATCTATACTTTGTAGTACTTCAAAATTTCCTATATTATATTCATAACAAAGTTATTTTAATTACCTTGATATATAGGACTAGTCTGCATAAAATATTGTGTTCCTCCAGAATTGTTTTATGTAAACACATTTCTGAAACATCAGCGAATACATATTATATTTCCATTTTATTTTTATGATAACAAAAGCATGCATACCTGTTTGATAAGCAAATGATACATATTGTATAATGCATAATTCAGCATTTTAATATCAAAATAAGACTTTACATGATGCAACTAGGACTCAGAATCTGAGAATATAAAATAATAAAAACAGTCTATATTGTTACTGAGCAGTCTCAAACTGTAAAATTATTCATTTCTTGTCAAATTACTAACATATTAAATAAAACAATATTAAGAAAACAGTTTTGTCCGTGCATGTAAATAATTCTAATTCCTTTTCTCTTCACATTTTTCAAATCTCAGTCCTAGGAATCTGTGGTCAGTGAAGGGCAATTCCAGCAGGTGGAGTAATAGTAAAGGAAATACTCTGTGTGACTATAACTCTCTGCTTCTGTTGTCATCTTGGGCAAAAATTAGCATAAATCAGATGAGGTTAATATAGAATAGAAGCAAAAAGCATAAGTATAGATAAACACATTGCTTTGCATGGTAAATGTATTGCTGTAGAACAGAAACATACTCCCTTTAGTCTTCAATTTTCTCTGTATTTTTCCTGTGCACTTTCAAAAGTTTCCTGGAGAACTTGCGTTTAATACAAAAGTCTGAGAGACTAGCTCATTATCGGCAGCACCAAATTTGACAGAGAGCTCCTGTGTAATGTGTTGGGGGAAATCAGAAAGGACAGGCTCAGGCAAATTCAACGTTGGTATTAGGGTCGTTTGAGACTTCAGAGAGAGGCTTTTCTAATAAGGTCATGGCCTTGCCATCTCACACTAGTTTAGCCTGGTCAGAGCTTTCACTGTCCTGTGCAGAAGCATGACAGAGAGCTCTTTGCCAAGGAGAGGGGAGAGAGAGACACACACACACACACAGAGGATGGATGTTCTCTATGCATCTAATTCTGTTTCTCCTAGGAATCATATTGAGCTTAACCAGAAGTTTACTTACCAAGCAAATATAGATAAATATAAAAATGTTAATTTATTTTATATCTGTTTTGAAAACTGAAGAAGAATATACATTTTCATACTTGACTGCCATCTTCCATGATTCAGAGCAGAAGTCTCCCCACCCCACACCTAAACTCTGGTCATGAAATCTTACACAGAGCTCCACTTGAACAAGTAAATATGTGTCTGGTGCCAAAAGGAAGGCCTGGGATCACTCCTGGAATGGACGGCAATTTACAAGGTCTCCTTCTGTGTGCTTTTTAGTTCCTGTAGGTAAATGTAGAGACTACTCCTCAGCATGCCAGAATATTCTGGTTTAGAATCGTAAAGATCTGATGGCTAGCTTGTTTTTATATTTTTTCTTTAGCCTGTGAAGCGGAGTATTTTAGTTAATGCCTTGAACTCTAAATTACATATACTCCTGTAGTCATACACAGAAACATAAAGCACCTTCAATCTTTTTATATATTCAAAGTACTACAAATAAATAATTGAGATCAATTGAAAAAACATACATTTCATTAGTCTAAATGTTGCTTCTTTGTGTTATGTCTGACACTGTCAATAAACCAGATAAATAAATGTAGGCATTATTTTACCAACTATGCATGAATGGGAAAACATTATTATAAACCATGGATCCCATATTCTGTAATAATTATTTGTTATCAAATATGTTCCTTTAAGATAGTTTAACATTATAATTCTGTATCATCACAGAAATAAAAAAGATGATGAAATAGTTAACTAGTATTCTACTGAAATTACTCCAAATAAACCACAAATACTTAAATTCATACTCTCACTTTTATTCTCTTTATCTCCCTGTATGTAGCTTCACTAATTTAGGGGAAAATATATAGGATGTGGCTTGTACACTTCTACAGTCTGTCTGAATTTACCTCAGTGAGACTCAGACAAATGAGCATAAGATTCCGAAAATCCAAAAGCACCTCATAATGGGCATTTACATCAGCATAATTGAATAGCACAGAAGTTAACAAAAAATGTCTTAAGATCTAAACAAAAGTAAGCCTTTAATCAAGACACTCTTGATTCTTTTTATAAATGTTAAACAGAGAGAAAAATCAGTGCTTTCATGTAAATATTTTCCACATCATAATCAACTCAATTTTTTGCTAATTTCTCTTGTCTGTGTAATTCCATATCCCTCACAAGCACATAACCATTTTTGAACAGCAGAGCTGTAGAATCCCTGAAGACACATTGACATTTTTTCCTCATTTTGAGGGGATAAAAAATTTATGAGTTACTACCAGGAGGATAAAAGTATCTTATCTGGGAATAGCCAATCAATTAAGTGAAATAAATTTTACTGGAATATATTGTGTTGGTGGGAACTCTCCCTCTCTCTGATTTCATATGAAAATACTTGTGTTAGAATACTACCCTTATGACTCTCACCAGCTTTTGTTTCTGTATTTACTGATTACCTGACTGGTTGATAACAAGACTGTCATTCACTAACAGGTTCATATGTCTTGAATTTGTAGAATTAAAGCATTGAAAGTTTTCAATTACAGAGCATTTGCTTCTTTTTTTCCAACTCAGCCAGAAGAGGCAGCTGTCTTGAAAGCTCAAGTTGCTTTGCAGACACAGTCTTTTCCTCAGAGAGATGGGTTGTTCAAAGATATTCACAAGTATAGAAAATGGCGATAATGTAGGAAATGGAAAGAATAATACCAAAAAAAACCCTTTTAAACAGAAATCTAAAGTGACCTATACATTTGTGTGTTTATACATTTATATCCATCTAACTGTCTCTTGTGTCTTATTTCTCAATTAGCCTTTAATTTAGGAAGGAAGGAAATAAGTGCTATGAATCGACTGACACCCTCAATCCCTAGATAGCTTGAAGACATTCTGATAACAGCTCTGCTCTTAAGTATGGTATCAACTTCGAAATACTTTGCTTGAAATAACTCATTTTGGTTTACTAAAAATAAGAACATTATATCAGAGAAAATTTACATATTATCTATCATATAATCTAACTAGTAGTGTCTTCTAAAATTATCTTTAACCAGAAGATAGTTGTAAAATAACAGTACACTCAGCTGATGACATGACAATATTTTCCTTGATGAAGCAGCCATTTAAATGTTAAGGCCTTCTTATTAGGCCAATGTAACATTAACATGTTGAATCTTTTCTAATAAATTTTGGTTACTAGATCATGAATGAATTTTTGATAATATATTTCAGTTTAGGCTATGCAAATAGAAGAATTCATTTTGTCAAAAGATATCATACTGTAGCTTCCTGCATATGAGGCTTTAATTTACTAAAAAGCTTCAATGAAAGCATTGATAAAATAATATTATTTAAGATTATATAAAGGAGTGATAAATTAGGATGATACTCTCAGCACAATTAGAAGTATAATTTTATAATAATTAGGTCAAACTTCTGTAATGTCTTTCTCTTCAAACTGATATGCTATATTACCTTACAATCTCCTCTAGAGAAAAATGGGTAGTTCTGAATAATTTTACAATCTCTACTTAAAGATAGCACCAATAGTCTTGAATTTTAAGTAAAAATTAAAACTGGCAAAAAATTGGTCTTATGGCCCTATTAATATATTAAGTCACAAAACTCAGGAGAATTAGCTCAACAATAAGGAAAAAAAAACCTGCACGTCTATATTTGCAGACTATTGTTCAAGGATAGAAAGCAGACTTTTTTCCCTTACAAATGTAAAAGATTAATGAGTTTGTGGATAGGAAAGAAATTCTAGAGACTGTCTTCCTAATCTCTCTGACATACAGGCACACACTTGTACAATTTTCAAGGCATAGCATGGTTTAAAGTAGAATATTATACATGGCACATTGTGACTTGAAAATGATGTTTCCAGTAGGAATGTAATGCTAGCACAAAGAAAGTACATTTTGGGGAAGGAAAAAAAATCATTATGTAGTAAGATCCATCTTATCTAGATGGCAAAAGAGGTCATGTCAGTCATGAAGGACAATTCCAAACTATAGCAGCTGAGCAAAATTCCATTATAAATCATCTCAATATAACATCTCAATCTACATAGAATCAATTTTATGAAGTCATCAAATCGTGACCTCATTTTGATAGTGATATTATATAAAGTAACTGCAGACCTGGTTTCACTACTGACTGGTTGTACAATCATGGATTGACGCTTCCGCCTTTTGAATATTATTCTCCCTATCTGTAAAACATGAGGATTAGAATAGGTGATCTCTAAAGGCCCCTGTGGCATGAACACTCTGTGTTTGCTTTCCTAAAAACACAGAAAGAATGCACTCAAAATATTATTCTTGTTTCTCAGTCAGCACTCTTGAATGTGATTATGTCATATTTTAAATGAAAAATAAACTATAGGTTTAGTTAAGCTACATACATCAATTACCTAGAAATGTGAGTGAGTTCTCCATCTTCTCAGAAAAGAAAGTCACTTATGAAATTATTTATTTAAAAAGCAATGCTTTTTGATATTTTGAAGCCTTCTAACTCAAATCTATATGAGTTACTAGTTCTCAACATATATACATTACCTACTAAAAGTATGGATATATAATAACCTCAAATGATTAAGTGGTTTAAGTTATAAAAGTAACTTGTATGCTTATAAAATAGTCTTCTGCTGGATTTCTCAATGTCAACACTATTGACATATTGGGCTGGATAATTTTTTGGTGTGAAGTGTCCTGAGTATTGTAGAATGATTAGGAACATCCTTGGCCTCTAGATGTTACTGTCAACCCCTCCCAATGAGTTGTGGCTATCAAACACGTCTCCAGGGAAGCAAATATCTTCCAGGAAGTAAATGGTCCCTGACTGAGACCCACTGGTCCACTGAAATGCTGTCTATGTATGTATGCTATCAGGAAAGTGTTCCTTAAAACACTGTCATCCTAATGGACATAGAAAGTAGAATAATAAACATTGCCAACTTAAAAAGGTGGGTAGGTGGCAGGGATCAGAAATTACTTAATGGGTACAATGTACACTATTTGGTTGGTGGCTACATTAAAGCCCAAGCTTCATGTATACACAATATATCTATATAACAAAACTGCACTCGTACCCCCTAAATCTATTATTTAAAATAAAGTTTTTTAAGAAAGTTTTCATCCTAATTTTCCTGAATATATGCTTCAATCAGTTTTAAATGTTTATTATATTTTGTGCAGAATTCTAGCAGTATAACAGTTAAAAATCCAAGATTGCTTAATCTTGATTTTCCTAAAACTTTGAAAAAAATTATAGTGAAGCCACATACAAACCCAAATAGGGCTCCTGCTGAAGAACTGAATTCAACAAAGTACTTACCTCTGCACAAAATCTCCTCTTTACTGGACGAACAGTCTTATGTTCCTGTGTGCTGTATAACTAAGAAGCAGCTGATTGAATTTTATGTCCTTCTTCATGACCTCTGCACTCAAAATATTTTATTATGCTAAAGAAAATCATCCTTTTTACTACTGGTTTTGAGCCAGCAAGTTCTTTGGTTCCTAATGAAAATGCTTTATCTACCAAGAGTTTTGTTTTGTTATGCCCTCGTGAATCTGTGACATTCTCATTATTATTCATTTGCATATATTGAGGCTTATTTCATATATAGTAACATTTTAACAGTAAATATGATCACAGCTACCATGCATCTATGCCCTGGGGAATTCTATTGAGGCAAAGTCATAACTGGTATTAAACCTAGAGAGAATTATGCATGTCCATAGAGAGAATGTTATTCACTCAGAGCATGGCCACATGGTGACTTCAATCAGGTTTACTTTTCAAGTGTTAAATGGACTGAGTGACTCTAAAGGTTTTTGGATCCTGTCCAAAACCGGAGTTGTGTAGCTTCTGTTGTAAGTTCAGGTTCTGTGGTTAAATTGGAAGAATCTTTAATATGAAGAAAATAGGTCTAATTCCTAAAAGAAAAATGTATTACGCAAAATAAGATTGTAATTTATTTATATGCTAATTAGTAAAGCATGTTGCAAATCCAAAGAAGGCCATGGAGTTTTTTTCTTCTGAGCGTGAAGAATACAACCAGTGCTCCTTATGCACTAATAAGGTTTGTTTTCTTTAATAGTAATGATCCTCTTTCCTTCATGCCTTACTCATCTACTGAAAAGCATGTCAAATAGTGCATTTTCTTATCAAATGTATAATTTCTAAAACTTACTTGCCACATTCATTCTTATTAAAAAAACAAATATAAAGAATGTTTAAAACTATAATTGCTATAGATCTAAATACAGTTTAAAAGAGTGAACTGAAATATTCCCCTGCAGATTTAGCTGTTATTCTCCTCACTATCCAATTACGTAGTGAGTTGAAATTACAACTGACCATTTATCCCAGCTACTATTTATATTAAAATTCCACATATATTTCATAACCTGTTTTCTATTTGTCATTCAGGTATGTAATTTTTACCAAGTATTCTAAAAGCAAGGCAAAGTTAATGTTTAATGTTTTTTGTTTTGCTTTAACCCAGGGGAAAAAAAGATTTATTTTTAAAAACTATTTCTAAGTTCATATAATTTAAGGTATACAAAGAAAAAGGTTAATCAGATATTTGCAATAATTAGTTAATGTAGATAAATGATAAAGAGAATTCAAGTTTGAATGCTGACATTACCTAGTTATAAGGAGAATTATTCACTTTGTATCAATATTTTTAAAAAAGGTAGCAGTATTACAATGGACTACCAGCTCCGAAACAAACTGCCTGCATTTATCTTCTCGCTTCTATTTTCTTGCCTTCAATCATGGGCAATTTAATTAAACTCTCTGTCCCTCACTTTCTCTAGCTTCTTTATCCTTATTTTTGTCTAACATGTATATGTGTCATTTAAATTAAATCAGACAGTACATGTATGTTATTTTGAACAGATAAGCATAGTCAGCACTCGATAAGCATTAGCCCTATTACTATGTAATTCCCACTTTTGCTGAAAATTATGAAAATATTAATTCATCTTCAAACACCAAAATCTCATCTTAAATTAACATGCGTTGTGAGAGGGACCCGGTGGGAAGTCATTGAATCATGGGGGCAGGTCTTTCCTGTGCTATCCTTGTGATAGTGAATAAGTCTCACAAGATCTGATGGTTTTAAAAAGGAGAATTTACCTCACAAGCTCTCTTCTTGCTTGCCGCCATGTGAGAGGTGCCTTTTGCCGTCTGCCATGATTGTGAGGCTTCCCCAACCACGTGGAACTGTTAGTCCATTAAACCTCTACTTTTGTAAATTGCCCAGTGTTGGGAATGTCTTTCTTTATGAGCAGCGTGAAAACAGACTAATACAGACAATGAAATATATTGTGTAAGGACAATCATGCAAATTATTGTACATTTCATCATAAAAAATATATTTATTTGTATATTTCAACACAACCTTAATATTTGATGGATACTTTTCCTCTACAAAGAGTAATAGATTCTAAAAATGAAAATCAATTATTGTAACTTACTTTTTATTTCTAGTTGTTTATAAATCATGAAAATAAATGTTGATCTTAAAGCCACTTCTGAATAAAGAGTAGCGGAATATGCCAACCAAAGTATATCATTTGGCATAAGGATTACTTTGAGCTGAAGACAATTGAAAAGAAGCTGATACTAAAAAAAACCTCTTCTCCCCCCAACCCCATTTGCCTAAAAGCAAGGCATAAATTTACAAAGGTGTCCCTTCTCCCCTTTATACTGGGAAGGACAAAAGTTGATCAGCAAAGACAACCTTAGACCCTTATTATCCTGAAGACTTATTCATCCAGAGGAATCTATGTAACAAACTTTATTATCCTTTATCTACCATTAGTTCTCCTTATATTTGCCTTGCCGCAATTTGTTGCCCCTAAAGGCTTAAGGTCCTTTGCCTTTGTCTTTTCATATCTCTAAAACTGAATTGCCTTTTGTTGAAGATGACATATAAGCTGATGTTCTAAGTCTTTGAGAATTGCTTATTGCCTGGGTATCTCCCATATATATAAGAAATTAATGTCAATAAAACTCTTGTTTGTTTTTCTCTTGTTAATCTGTCCTTTATTATAGGGTTCCCAGATAAAAACTCAGAACGGTAGAGGGCAGTTTATTTTTTCCCTTACATATACATAGGTATAATCTCTTTACCTTACTTTCAACTATAACATACACTAAAAATTGTTGGCATCTCTTGCATTGTTTCCTTTTGTCTGGAAACGTTTACGTATGTTGTAATTTAATCTTCACAATGACCTCATAATTTAGATATTGCTATCCTAATTTGTGGTATAAAAAAACAGAACCCATAAGTTCTAGGAGGAAAACTATGATTCAAAATCAAATCCATGTGATTCTTAACATATCGTAGCTTGAGTGAAATGACAGCCTTAAGTGTTGAGGAGCCCTCTCACTTGAATGCATGTATTTGCTTGAAGATTTATTCCAGGGAAAGAAGACAGAGAAAGATAAATACAACTTAAAATAAAAAAGATAAGTATCCCGAGTTTTCATGGCACACAGAAGCAAAGTAAAATTAGCCTGGGGTGACTTTCTGACTTTTTCCACCTATTTTTAACTCACCACTCCGATTTATCAGTCTCTAAAATATTCCTGTCTGAAATAAAGATGTGGGGGGAGTGAAATCTTTCAAAGTAGCTGAGACATGTGCCAGGGGCTGTGCTAGGAATGATATCATTAACTACATGTTATAAAAAGAAAATCTTGGGGGAGATAGGGAGACTGAGGCTTACAGAGATCAGGAAATTTACCCAAAGGCTTGGCAAGTAGGGTTGAGATTTGAAAGTGATTCTGTGTAACACGAAAACCCAAACTTTGGAAGTGAAAATTTGTTCTTTTCAGTAAACTAGTTCAAGGATTTTCTGTTCCTGTGGACATAGATCCTTATTTTAAAACAAAAATGGTCAATAAAAATAATTGTATTTATTCTCTGTAACTCACAGTCACATCCCTTCATTAACCAGCAGTGGAATTAGATACATTGATTTCTGAGTTAAACTCTGATATCCTGAATGAATATTAATACGTAATAAATATTTTTACACTATTTGCACGGTAACTTTATGCTATTTAATTCAACTTCAAAATACTAATACATAAGAGTATTAAATATCATTCACCATGATGGTTTACAATTTTTAATGCAAAAAAGAAAATTATGAATCATTGCTATGCTTAGTGCAATCCTTCAAAAACATCAAAGATATTTCAAAAGATGAAATAAGTGTTACTTTTTAAAAAGATAAGCTAAAATATTATCAATGAAACAAATTCACAGTAAGAACAGCTTACAGTGGGAGGCTGAGAATTAAAATTGCTCTCATTATAAAGGATTCTCAGTAGGAAGTTGGGTTATTTCTGAGCTTAGTACAATAGCGCTGAAGCCTGACATGAACCTATAAGCAGTAGCAAAAACGACTTTGGATAAGGACTTTGCAATAATTTGCAACTACCAGATCAATATTTCAAGGAAGGCATTGAATTCTACTTAACCTAATTCTGGTTTCTGAAAAATATCTAAATATGTAAGAGTTCAAAAACATAGAATACAATTATATATACATTTACAACTATTTTCCCTACCGTAAGTATTTTCCAAATAATTGCTTTATATTATAGTCATGTAATGACTATAATTTTTTTTCTTAATTGAAATTGGTTCTCTATTATATTTGCAGCTCATCTCTTCAGTAGGTGTCAAAAAAAAAAATCCAAGAAAGCAGCCATAGATTTATAGTCTACATCATGAGATTAACACTCACTTGCTGAATAAATAAATGAGTGCATGAACCGGTCGTAGATTTTTAAGACAATGTTTTGAAATGGAGATGTTATTTTCAAGGTGAAATTTTAACTACAAATCTGTGAATAATTTGATTTGATCACTTAAATATTTATTTCTGTAACATTAATCTTACCTGTTTCCCAAAAGTAGAAGTAATAATTAAGTTAGAACTAATAAGCCAGAAACACCTCCTGCAGGCTCACAGGAAAAGCAGTAATCTCTCTTTATATTTTGTTACTCCTATCTTGCTTGCAAAGTAAAATGGCCTAGCACCTGCTCAAACTTGAGAAAGAGTTCATTAATATTTAATTTTGAAGACTAAAAAGGGAAAAACATTATTCTTATGCAAAATTGTCTTTGTTTTCTCCAAAATGATTTCCCTGTTTTACATAAATGCCACAAAAATTCCACACAGATTTTCTTTTACCTAGCACCAATAAGACAAATTAAAAAAAAAAAAAAGTTTTACATACTTTTTCAGCTTTGTTTGTTTTCAGCTTTGTTCAGGTGTGATTGACAAAAAACTTAATTATTTAAGGTGCACAATACATACAGTATTTTGATATAAGTATATCTTGTAAAATGATTCCCAAAATAAAAGTAATTAACATCTACATCACTTGACATAGATAGATTTTTGTTGCGGGGGGGTAGTTTTTATTCATTTATTGCTTATTTTTTGGCTAAGAACACTTAATATCTATCTACTCCTTTAATAAATTTTAAATATATAAAACATACAGGATGCTTCATGAATTTGCATGTCATCTTTGCAGAGGGGCCATACTAATCTTTGTGTCATTCTAATTTTAATATATGTACTGTTGAAGTGAGCAGTAGGCCTCTTTTTTTGTGAGAGGAAATACTCCTTCTTTAGAAAATTTGCTTTTTTGTAATATTGAGATTTCAATAATATTGACTAAAACTTATTGCCTATGAAAACCTTTTAAATTGAATCCTAGAATTGATGAGATATAAACTTGGTGAGGCCATCATCTGTACGAAACATTATAATAAATACTAAAATTACAAGAGACATTTGATGAAAAGAAGAGCCCAGTAGCAGCAATAAAGATGACATCATAGACAAACAGATCTGCAGAAAAGCTGTCAACAGCAACAATGGAAGCCAGAAGACAGTAGAGTGATTTCTTCAGAATGACAGAAAAAACAGCTATCAACCTAGATTCACTGGCACAACAAAACTATCTACTAATACTGAAAGTAAAATAATGATATTTTGCAATGAAGTAGGCTTGATTTTACTACTAATATTTCCTACCCAAAGAAATTTCTAAATGATATATTTCAGGAAGAAAAAGAAATCCCGAACGGTCTGTGTTGCAAGAAATAATACTGAAAAAAAAAGTAGTATAGTAAAGACGTGAAAATACAGGGGTTTGAGGTGAACATGAAAATGCTATCTACAAACCTAGAGGCCTAGAGCAGATTCTTCCCCAACAGCCCTCAGAAGGAAACAGCTTGCTGACACCTGGTTTCAGACTTCTAAGTTCTGATTGTGAGATAAGAGATTTATGTTGCTTAAGCCACGAAAAAATATATAAATGTATGAAAATCAAAATGTTATTTTTATACAATGATAAAAGTAATATAAAATATGTTTAGCTAAAAGGAAGGAACTAAAATCATGAAATCTAGTCTGTTTGTGAAACAGACTAGGGTTGATCAGGTTGAAAGAGTTCTAAGGTCTTTTAATCATTCATGTGGTGACTGAGGTCAATATTAGAGAATGAATTGAAAATAAGAGCCAGAACTCAAAACTTTCATGGTTTACAAAGTAAAAATCAATGAAAAATAATGGAAAAAAAGAAATGTTTCAGTTGATATATAAAAGGAAACAAAGGAGGAAATCAGGTCATAAAAAGGTAGAAAAAGCAAAAAACCCTAAATAAAATAGAGGTAAGTCAAAATGTGTCAAGCATCAAAATGACTATAATTGTCAATTAAACAAAAGCATAGATTGTGGAAAATCAAACAACATTTCACAATACTGTTTACGAGCAGTATACAGAAAACATAGAGACCATAAAAATTGTTTAAATACAGATTAGAACAAGAAACCCAAGTGGATATATTAATATCAGAAAATAAGACTTTAGGACAAATACATACAAAGGAAGGTGAGGTGCAGGTCACTACATAATGATAAATGTTCAATTAAATGGAACCCTATGGCAGTTCTATATTTGTTTACAGCTATTAAAATAGCAGTGTTAGGATTAGGTAAAGCCATGTGTTCTAAAATTGAAATAGTAATGGCTAAGTAGTTTATTTTCCTCTTATTTATCTAAAGTAGAACAGCTAGGACTATCCAGTGCTGGTGAGAGAATTTTGCGCCTCAATTCCTCAGGGATTAGACTTCTTCTACCTCATTTGTTGGTCACACTTAGGTATAGCTTTCATCATCATGGTCCAAGAAGGTAGAATTTCGTGTCCTATGCTGTAAACTAGAAGGGACCATAAAGAAGACAAAAGGTCTCTGCCAAGTATCTTTTAACAACTTTCAGAAGATACCATATTACACTACTTATATTCCATTAGCCATTAGCTGTATCTTAGTGATAACATCATGTATAGGTGCAAAGGAGGCTGGCAATGGTAATCTGTACAGCTCCTATAATATTGAAGTAGAGAACAGGCTGGGCAAGGGGGTACAACCAGCAGCCTCTGCTTAAATAATCTCAAAATATATAAAGCAAAGGTTGATAGAGCTGCAGGGAAAAACAAAACCGCTACCATAGTGAAAGATTTCAACTTTCCTCTTTCAAACATTGAGAAGCTAAAATCACAAAAATATTAGTATGTATATAATACTATATATACAGTATTATATATATATAATTATCTAGCATGGTAGTTATATATATTTGTATATAATAATTATCATGCTAGATTAAAAGATATATATATATGTAGCACTCTGAAACTCTCGAAAAATGTGTTTCCTCAAGAATAAAGTACACTCACAAAGTTGTTCAAATACTAGGTCATGAATGCGATAGATATTAACAAAATTTCAAAAAGTCTGTGTCAATTAGATCATGAATAAAATTTAAATGAATTATGTAGTAATTAAATTTATCAATAATGTAAATGCATATACTTAGAATTTGTGTCTTCTAAATATTAATATTTAATAGATCAAAAAGTCTATAGAAATTTTTAAATAATTATATATATGTGTAAATGCATACACTTAGAAATTGTCTTCTAAATATTAATATTGAATAGATCAAAAAGAAAGAGAAATTTTTAAATAAGTATATGTGTGTGTGTGTGTTTCAGGCCTTCCTTGATAAACAAAGTGAAAACAGTTCTTCTGCTATTTTAAAAAAATGGAAATTCTTAGAAATTCAATGATATCACAATTTAAAAAAATGAAGCTCAAATATTCCTGAAAACAAACCGACTGAATCAGTTTTTTAAAATATTCAAAAAAGTGAATTCTTGGACCAAAATGTTTTCTCAACAAATTATAACCTTATTTAAGTCTTACATAAATTTTACTAAATAACTAAAATGAAGGAATATGATGCAAGTCATTATGTGAAGTTAGTGTAACCTTGTTATCAATGCCAGAAAAGGATATAATGAGAAGGGTAAACTAAAGATCAATTCTCCTTCTAAATATAGATGCAAAAATTCCAAACAAAATTTTAGTTAACTGAATCCAGCAGTGCATGAAAATGTACTACATCTTGTCTATGCTTGGTTTATTACAGAATTGCAACGGTGCTTCCTAACTAAATTTTTTTAAAAAAGGAAGTACATTATCATATTAAGAGACCAAAGAAATAATTAATTTAATAAATGCAGGTTTATTTAATTCTTAATTCAGTTTTTAAAAATAGAGACAGGGCCTCACTCTCCCACCCAGGCTGGAGTGCAGTGGCACTATCATAGCTCACTGCAGCCTCCAAACCCTAGTCTCAAGTGATCCTCCTGCCCCAGTCTCCCAGATAGCCAGGATTACAGGAATCCACCACTGTGCCTGGGTTATTTTTTGAAATTCTTTGTAGACATATCCAATACAGTAAGACATGAGAAATAAATAAAGTTTATATGGATTAAAATAAAAGAAATAAAATCCTCATTATGCAGAGATTATATGGTTGCAAAGAAAATCTGAAATAATATTCATTAAAATTATTGGCATAAAAACAGATATTAAGAAAGTTGCTAAATGTAATAGTAATGTAAAAATATTGATTGCATTTCTGGAGAACTAAAATAATACTTGGAAAATGAATTCTAAAGAAAAATATTGGACTTCACTCACCATGGTAGTTACAATGTCATCTCTGGATAACCTAAATTATAGTAATGTATGATTGCAAAAATTTAAAATTGATTGTAAGACATTTAAGAAGACACAAATAAAAATATATAGTGTTTGTGGATGGCAAGGGCCTATGAAGTCACGTCTCTCCAAATTTACTATAGGTTCAATGAAATTACTCACACATTTTCAGCAGATGTTTGTAAAACTTTTTGGAATTGCAAGGCGCAGGATCAGCCAAGAGACCCCCGAGGAAGAGAAGCAAGTTTAAGGCATCTTCTTTTATCAACTATCAGGATGTTTTAAAAGACGAAAATATTTAAATTAATATTGTGTTAGATTAGGAACAGACAAAACAGCTCCAAAATAAATCAATAACTCCATGAATTAAAGGTCATTTAACATATTATAGAAGAATCACTGCAATCATTAATAAATGATTGTTGAAAAAGAGACTGTTTAATTAGTGACACTGAGACAATTGATTAGACATTAAAAAGAAAAACACGAAACAAGAAAAAAAAGAAAATAAAATTGGGTCCCTAGCTCACAAGTTCCACAGCAATCTACTTCAAATAATAATAATAGTAATAATAATAATAAAACCTTTAAAAGATGAGATAAAAGAATTTCTTATTGGCTTTGGGGTAAAAATAATATCCCACAACATTAAGTATTTACTAATTGAACCATATTAAAATTTAAACATATGTTCACCAAAAAACTCTTTAAAGTGTGAAAAAGGAAAACAAAAACTTGGAGAAGATATTTGCAGCACATATAGTTGAAAAGGTATTATTATCCAGTATATTTTTCAATATACAAAACATTATGTTTTATAGAATGTCTCTAAACAAGAACCAAACAAGAAAACCAAAAGAATAAATGCTGACACTGCATTACTAATTAGGTATATGCAAAGTAAGAGTATAATGAAGAGTTTCTATTCATAAGACTGCCAATATTTAACAATTCCACACACGATGGAAATAGAAAACTATGTATACTGCTAGTTGGATAAATTACTTAAGAAACAAATGTCATTGTTTTATAAAGTCATACATGTAAATTCTTAAGCTAGCAACTGCACTTATAGGATTAGATAAATTTATGCAAATTTGCACTAGAAAACACCTACCAGAATATTTACAGCAGCATCATTTGCATTAGCAAAAAATTGGAAAAAAGCCCAAAGTATTGGAAAACACAAATAAACATAACACATTGTAAGATATTGGCATTAAGTAAAAAAAAGTCATAGCAATAACATGGATGAAACTTAAGAATGTTGAATAATTAAATATAAAATAAAAGTATCAAAACTACATAAAGTATGAAAATACTTTTAAAGCTCAAAAGAAGTAAAATTAATAATACATTGTATAAGAATGCATACGTATAGTAAATACATACATAAAGCAATACAAATAAAATTCTGAATTTAAAAAATTTCAGATTAGTTTCAACTACAATGAGGCATGGCAATGAAATGGGAAATCAGTAATGATTTTGATTGTATTAATATCTATTTTTATTATGTGTTGTAATTTATAAATTTGTTACATATATTTTTGTTTCAAATAGTGCATAATTGTTCTAGAATGAGCAAATGCAAAATACTGCTGATGCCAATTACAGCTACTTGTATTTTTTGGTAAAAATGACAGAACTTAATTACCAAGGTGTAGTTACAAAATCATAACTATTTTAATGTTTTTCTTTACTGTGCCATCAATAACTGATGATAGTTCATCTACTTTGTGTGAATTAAAATAAAGACTTTAGTTAAAATTAATAATACACTTACATAAAGGAAAAAAAGAGAGTGCATGAGGGCTTTGAAATTAAATTTTAGATTCAAATTATATTTCCTGAGTTAATATCCCATGTCATTTGATCGAAGTCTGGCTATCAAGTTAGAAGCAAGAAGAATGCTTCTTTCCAAACAAAAATTTCCTGAGTGTCAGCAAAATGTCCAAACCATCTATTTCACATCGATGTGCTTTTTAAAACTTTCCTCTTCAAATCAAGGGCACTTCTTTGTTCCAGATTTAAGAAGCAGATGAAATATATTCTAATAGATTCATATCATAAATCTCTAGTGTCTAAGTAGACCTAAAGAAACATCTATCTGTCCTGATCAGTATCTCCAGAGGCTATTATATTCCCATTTAAAAAAAAAAAAATGTCATCTGTGTGGAGCCCAGCTCAGTCTCCAGCTTGTCAGTTCAAGAATATTAGAATAGTTTTTCAGTTTTGCTCATTAAGATGTATATCTTTTATGCTTCATGATAAGCATTAATATTCAAAAAATCCAGGAAAAATGCCATACGGCAAGTGCTTAAGCTAGAGACTACTACTATGCCAAACATTTGGAGCTCCCCAATTACTACTGGACCCTATTTTTGTCTGGCAACTGCTGTGTTATAAAACAAGTGCCATTTTGAGGCTCAAGTCAGCAGCGTCAATCTAACTGCTAGTTCAAGATGACTTTGTAGCCCTCAAGGATTGCAAGATGTGGATGATTGCTCCTTAGAGGAATAACTGTTGACAGGTCTGGTGAAACAACTCATGAATGATGAACTGAGAAAGCATCCAACTGTTCATGCAGACCTGTAAATGTGCCATATCGCAACCTCAGAAAGGATTACAGCAATTTCCCCACGTCTTATTATTTGCCTCTGACCAGGAATGACAGAGATGCACAGACATCACTAGGCATATCCTGGATATATATCACACATTCTGATCCCTTAACTTCTTTGTATTAAGCAAAGGTATCAAACTCTTAAAACTATTACATATTGAACACACATCTATTGCCTTTGTTGTAAGATTAATGATTCAAAACAACTCTAGCAATGTGTAAAATGAAGGAAAGACTCACCAAGAGTTCACCAATGCACTTCAGCTTCTGTCCCCAAGGCTAGTAGCATGTGCAATGACTTTGATTAGAACCAACCAACCAATGACAACATTTTTAATCAATCTGATGCTTTATGAATTTATGTAAATATAAGCACACAATAGGCATGTTTTGAGTAGCTTTAGTTGTGGAAAAACGTTTACATAGTTTACATATCAATCTAAGAAGAATATAGACTGAAAAAAGAAGCATAATTTATTTCTCTGCTGTTAGTGCTCTCATTCTGGTAGCAATAGCTATAGTATTTACAAAAGGGACAATATTTATTTATGGTTTTATAAAAAGTTATTTCAGCAATTGAAAAAAAGGGTTAGTATACTTACAAGGAATAGAGTGATATACTATTTGACACAGAGATGCCATTCTGTGATGTGCCTGATACAAACACCACTTTAAACTGCTCACATTTGCTCAAGTATCACAACATACACTTTAAAGTAGCAGTTTAAAATTTAGCAGTTGAATAATACAATCAGTATATAAGCAAGATTTTATTTTCCTTACCACCCTACATATTGTGTCATCCATCTCATTTATTTTGTATTTACTGGTGACCTCCTTGTTAGCCACTAATGAGCTACGTTATCACAGCCTGTATCCCTCATTGCCTTCTACTTCTCATGTACTTTGTCTTCTCTGCTTCCCAGGAAAGATACTCTGCGGCCCTTGCATTTACCAGCTGCTTTGTTCCTTTATGTCCCTTTGTTCCTCGCTAAATTCATTTGACATCTTTCTTTTATTAAAAATTTCAAATAAAGAACCAGTTCTACATTTGAACAATATTTGAATTGTCAAAAGACCTAAGCTGTAAAAAGAAAACCGTTGTCTACTGAAGAGATTTTGTTTGTGTACTAATTTATCTAGTAATAAATCTTTATAATATCAGTATTTTGTTAAAAGAAACTCTGCTAAGGAGGAAAAAATAGTCTGTGATACCTAAATATGTTTCTTGTCATCTAATCCATTAAACTTATGCTTTGTATCTAAATGAAATTTTTGATTGTTGTTTTCACTTTTCTATATTATTTCAATTGAAATATTATTTCAATATTTTCTAACCAGAAATAACTAATTTAGCATTTAAATGAAGACCTAGTCTCCAGGACGATGAGGTAACCAAACAAGAATTGCACTATTGCGGCTCTGGAGGGAGTAATTGAAATGATCTGCTTTCATTTTGTTTTTATTATTTACTGTAGTTTAAAACTAAGGGGAAGGACAATTTTGCTCTATTGATCTATTGGTTGCTTGATGGTGGTTTTGATGAATATAATTAATTAATATTGATCTTACATTGTTATAAAACTTTTTTCAGCAGCTGTTATGTGAGAATGCATATTTAGTTATGTTCAAAGTACACTTGAAAACAAAAAGTAACAAATAACTTAAAAGTATGGAACATTGAGAAACTTGTTATAGAGATTATTTTTACTTATTTTCAAAAGGAGCCATAATCCTTATGTATTACTTAATCCCTTGGATGAAAAATAAAAATGTGAAGCAAATATCTGTCTGATCCACTTGCCAATTTGAGAGCAATATTGGATCATACACATTTGAAAATCAAAGGTCCTGGTAGAGACATAAAACATCATTTCCTAAAGAAAATACTTCTTAAATGTCAGCTTCTAGGTTACTTTTTAAGAAATTTCCACTCTTCCCTGATATCCTATTTTGACATGACCTTCTAAGGAAACAGGTTGTTCATACTAAGTAAATTTACTAGAAAGTAATTTACAATGAAAATATAAAGGTCTCGATAGCTTTATATGTGGACTATGCTCTAACATCTCCACTTAGAAATCCATGTTAATCAACATTTATTAAATATGTATTTGCCAGTAGATTATAATTTGTGATATATTTACGAATTAAAAGTGATGAGTCTTTGCTCAATCACCGTTTATGTATTCAGTTGGTTAACTGAGAGTACCCATTTATAGAAATAATACATTAATCAAAAATGCTTTCCTCTCTAACTTTCTAAGCTTGGTATTGTTTATGCTTCTAGGAGACACAAAGTGCTAAATTAAATAACTTGTATTACCTATAGTATTCTTATATCTGTTACAATAACAATGACCTATGAATGCATGCAATTAAAATAAAGTATGTTGATTTTATTTTAGTTTAGTAATTGAGAAATTTTGTAAACTTTTGTAAAATTACTTAGTACATGTAATAAACATAAAACTGAAAACATAAATAAACTGTGATCATCTCTTTGCTTGTGACAATTAAGTGGGTCATAATAACTAATTTATTATGACCATAACCCTTTTATCTGTAAAAGGAACAGAGTTTATTTAAAGAAAACTCTTTTAATGTTTGAATGTGGGAAAATGTATATCCCTTTAAATTTGACAAAGTGTGCTTAAAATGAACATGAATGTTGGAGACAGAGAAACATTTTATTAAATCTTGAATTTGCTAATTACATAAAATGTAACTGTGGGTCAAAGTGTGAGTCATAACATCATCTTACTCTAAAAAAGTAGTCAAAATATGTGGTATAGATTATTATGGGAATTATATGAAAAAAGTTATATAATAACACAGGCAGTGTCTAGGTATCTCAACAAATATTAGCAAAGTTTCTGCTTCCTTTATTAAAACTGCAGATAAACATTAGACTATTTTCCCCATTTTTTTCTCAAAAAGTTTTGCTAAATACACATAACCAAATTTACTAAGATACAATTTTTATGTGTACAATTAAGTAGCATTAAATATATTCACATTATTGTGCAACTATGACCCCATGAATCTCAAAACTTTTACATCATTCCAAATTGTAATTCTTCCCATTAAACAGTAACTTATCTCCCTACAATCCCTGGTAAACACTATGCGATTTTCTGTTTCTATGAATTTGATTATTCTATACATCTTATATAAGTGGAATAATAAACATTTGTCTTTTTATGTTTGGCATATTTTTCTTAAAATAACATTTGAAAGGTTCACTCATGTTGTAGGATGTATTAGAATTTAATTCTTTTAAAAAGCTCAATAATATTCCATTGTATGTCCTTACCATCTCTTGTTTATCCATTCATTTATGTGTAGATATTTGGGTTGTTTCCATCTTTTGAGTATTATGAAAAATGCTGCTATAAACATGGGTATACAAACATTTGTTGGAGACCTTGCTTTAAATTATTTTGGATGTTTACCTAGAAGTGAAATTGCTGAATCATACTGTAATTCCAGGTTTAATCTTTGGAAAAAACACCATATGATTTTTCACAGCAGTTTCACCACTTTAAAATCCCACCAACAATGTGCAAACATTCCAGTATTTCCACATCCTTGCCAACATATTTTTCTGTTTGTATAATAGCCATTCCAATCGGTATTAAGTAGTATCTCACTATGCTTTTGATTGGCATTTCCCTAATAACTCGTGACATTAATTAGTGATGTGTGTCTTTTTATGTGTTTATTGGCCATTCGTATATCTCCTTTGGAGAAATCTATGTTTAAGTCTTTTGCCTATTTTCAATTGTGTTGTTTATTTTATTTTTGGTTGTTGAGTTTTAGGAGTTATTTATATAGTCTAGATATTAATCTGTTTTCAAATTTATTGTACACAAATATTTTCTTTTTTCGTGAGTTGCCTTTTCACTCTTATTATTATTATGGGTTTTGTGCCTGATGGTACAAAAGCTTTTCATTTTGATGAAGTCTGTCTTATTCTTGTCTCTTCTTTGTTGCCTGTGCTTTTGATCCCATATCCAATAAATCAATTGCCAAATCCATCATCATGAAGATTTTACCTTATATATTCTTCTAATAGTTTTGAGTTAAACCTCTTGTTTAGGTTTTTGCTCCATTTTGAGTTAATTTTTTATATAGTATAAGGTAAGTGTTCAACTTCATTATTTTCCACATGGAAATCCAGGTCCCCCAGAACCATTTTTTGACAACGCTATGTTTTCCCCTTTGAATTGTCTTGAAAGATCATTTGACCATATATATAAGAGTTTATTTCTTGGCTTTCTATTCTATTCTGTTGGTCTATGTTTATCTTTATGCAAATACTACATTGTTTTGATTTTGCAGATTTAAAGTAAGTTTTAGAATTAAGGCATGAGAGTCTTCCAAATGTTCTTTTTTATTCCTAAGATTGTATTTGATTATTTAAATTTATATGAGATTCCATATGAATTTTAGGATAGCGTTTTTTCTATTTCAGCAAAACTAAATTTGGATTTTGAAAGGGGTTGCATTGATTTGTAGATCACTTTGGGTAGTATTGGCATCTTAACAATATTAATTTTTTCAGTCTATGAACACAAAACATCTTTCCATGTATTCATGGTTTAAAAAAATTCTTTCAGCAATATTTTGTAGTTCACAATGTACCAATCGTTTACCTTCTTGTCTAAGTACATTCCTGAGTTTTATTCTTTTTGATGCTATTGTAAATGTAATTGTTTTCTTAATCTCCTTTATGAATTGTTTATTGTTAATGTATAGAAATACACCTGATGTTTATGTATTCACTTAATATCCTGCAACTTTGCTGAATTTATGTGTTAGTTTCAGTAGGTTTTTTTGTGAAATTATTAGGGCTATATATATATATATATATATATATATATATATACATGCTATAAACATGGGTATACAAACATTTGTTGGAGACCTTGCTTTAAATTATTTTGGATGTTTACGTAGAAGTGAAATTGCTGAATCATACGGTAATTCCAGGCTTAATCTTTGGAAAAAACACCATATGATTTTTCACAGCAGTTTCACCACTTTAAAATCCCACCAACAATGTGCAAACGTTCCAGTTCATATATATATATATACATATATATATAAGTATATATATATATGGTTACATCACCTGTCAGCATAGATAATTTTACTTCTTCCTGTCCAATTTGGATGTCTTTTATTTCTTTTCCTTGTTTAATTGGTCTGGCTAGACCTTCCAATACTAGATTATATAGAAATGAAGAAAGCAGACATTCTTGTATTATTCTTGGTAGTAGAGTAAAAGCTGTCAGTCCTTCACCATGGTGTATGTTATTAGCTGTGGGCTTTTCTCATGTATAACATTTATTATGTTAAGAAGAAATTCTGCTGAATTTGGTTTGTTAATATTTTGCTGAAGATGTCTCCATCGATATTTATAAGAGATATTGGTCTGTGGTTGTTCTTGTTTGTTTGGTGTCCTCATCTGGCTTTGGTACCAGTGTAATTCATAAAATGAATTAGAAAGTATTCCCTCCTCTTCAGTTTTTTTAGAAGGGTATGAGAAGGGTTGTTGTTAATTGTTCTTGAGATATTTCATAAAATTCACTGAAGCTATCTGATCCAGGGCTCTTTCTAAGGAAAGTTCTGATTACTGATTCAATCTAGTTACTAGTTATAAGTCTATTCCTATTTTCTATTTCTTTATATATACTTTTATGAATAATTTGTTTAGCTAGTAAACGAAGTAAGCTATGAATCCAGGCAAACCAAACTTTGCTTCTAGAAAATTTGCCTTCTGCTTTATGTACTTTTGTATTAGAACCACAGCAAGGGAATATATTTTTATGTGACTACTCTGTGACAAGGACTACTAAAAATGTTATATGCATTATTTCATTTGAGTCATCATGTTTATTATTATTCTTCTATATTATATATATCCTATATGCTCTTCTAAATTTATCACACACTTGCTATGTGTCTTCAAAGACATATAATTCTTTGAAACCTCATTATTTTAAATTAGAAATGTGTCTATTTGCACCATATTTGATTATTTTAGAGATTTAAAGACAGTATATTTCAAAACTTCTAGCACAATCTCTAATAAATAACAAATTTGGTTATAGTTATTTCCTCTTGTTTTCTTTATATTTTAAAAGACAAAACAAGATTTAAAATATCTAAAACCTAAAAGTAAATAAGTAGTGAGTGACAGCTTTATTTTCCTTTCATTTCAGTAGTTGACCTCCTACATATATCTAATAAGTATTTCTAAAATGAAAGGAATAAACATTCACTTAAACATAAGAACTACATTTTAAATATTCAGCATTTTTGTCTCTCAATTTTTTATAGACATAACAGTACATGCATTTGCTTTTTTCTTATTTTTTAGAGATGGAGTCTTCCTATGTTGCCCAGTCTGAACTTGAACTCGTGAACTCAAGCAATCATCCTACCTCAGCCTTCCAAGCAGCTGGGAATAAAAAAGTCCACCACCACGTCTCGCAGCAGGTGCCTTTTTTTAAGATTTTATGTTTCTTGAATAGCTACATATATCAATTAATCCTTATTTTAAATGGTTCCTTCATGAGAGGAAACTTTAAAAAATAGCATTTAAAATATATTATTGAAGTTCATTTTTACTCAATTATATGAATTCTGTGGAAAGTCTTTTATCATTGTGACACTCATGGCTTAATTTTTCTCTAACATAAAATAAATTCAGAATGCTAAATAATAATTTGATTTTAGCTATTTAGTCTTTTAATGCATGCTCTACTTGGAGGTTAAACTGAAATTTTAGAATAGTGGAGAGTTCATGAGGGTTATTTTTTCTTTCAGAGTAAAAGGGAACAAATTGTGTTTAAAAGAAACAAAAAAAAAGTCAGTCATGGTATAAAAGTGCCCCAAAGATTAACTACAAATAAATTATAAAAGTAAAGGGATAAGTTTGCAGTATATAAAGTAATGTTATTACTTAAAAAATCGTGGACATATAGGTTACCTTAAGAGACTTACCTTAGATTATTAGATGAATGTAATATTTTTAAATGCTAATGACAAAAATAAAGCAGGCACACACGACACTGGAAATTATTCAAGAGAGTGAATGGAATTTGCTCTCTCAACACATGCTTAAATTGTGTAGAGCAATGCCTTCATTATCTTCCTTGACTGCAATTTTATTTTCTCTGTGTGTGCTTAAGAGACTCCTGTACCCCTGTGTTCAAAATATGAGCTAGTCAGATAATTCCCAACCATCAGTGCAAATGAGACCAAGGTAGGATTGAATAATTTTACAGATCATATGAGTATCTCATTCTTGTAAACCTCATCAAGTTCTCTTACTAAAACATTTGGCCCTCACAACCGCATCCATGTTGCTACAAAGGACATGCTTTTGTTCCTTTTCATGGCTGCATAGTATTCCAAGATGTACATGTACCATATTTTTTCTATGAAATTCATCGTGCATGGTAACAGTGCATTTAAAATAAGGGAGAGGGTAAATTTAAAGTCCTGAGTAGCAGAATGTTGGCTTTAGTGTATATTTGCTACTTGTTTATTATAAAAACATCTATATCTCTTGTAAACCATTATGCGTATCTGTTGTAAAATAATTTATAAAGTTTATATGTCATAAAATAATTTATTTCAAGTCTGTATGACTAAAATTATTAAATAGCAAGGTTATTAACATTTTTGATAGTGTAACTCTGATGTCAGTCATCCCACATCCAATGCCCTCACTGACATTTGCAAAGTGCTAAGATCTTATGTATTTCTTTCACTCAACTACAGTGTAAATTCCAACTTTGGCTAGACTTTGATTCTCCAATTCACATGTTTTAAGTTACTTTAGACTTTTTCTGATCTTCACACTGCACGTTTATTTTTCTTTTGATTTTTATTTTAGGTCCGGATGTATTTGTGCAGGATTGTTATATCGATAAATTGCATGTTACTGAGATTTGTTGTATACATGATCCCATCACCCACGGAGTGGGCATAGTACCAAATAGTTAGTTTTTCAACCCTTGCCCTCCTTTCATCCTCCCCCATCTGGTAGTCCCCAGTGCCTGTTCTCATCTTTGTGTCTATGTGTACTCAATATTTTGTTCCCATTTATAAGTGAGAACAGGTAGTACTTGGTTTTCTGTTCCTGCAGTAATTTGCTTAGATTATGGCCTCCAGCTGCATCTGTGTTGTTACAAAAGACATGATTTTCTTCTCTTTTTTGGCTGCATAGTATTCTATTATGTACCTATACCACATTTTCTTTATCTAGTCCACCATTGATGGACATCTAGGTTGATTCCATATCTTTGCTATTGTGAATAATGCGGCAATTAGCATATGTGTGCATGTGTCTTTTGGTATGATAATTTGTTTTTCTTTGGGTATATAACCACTAGTGAGATTGCTGGTTCTTTTTTAAGATCTTTGATAAATCTCCAAATTGCGTTCCACAATAGTTGAACTAATTTACTTCTCACTAACAGTGGATACATGTTCCATTTTCTCCACAACCTCTCCAACATCTATTATTTTTTGACTTTTTAATAAGTGCCTTTCTGACTAGTACACTACACATTTTAGATCTGCATGATATATTTCATACCTGTTCATCAAAAATGTGTTTACTAAGGTTCAAAAAACTTATTTGATTTGTATATTATACAAGCACTATTCAGAGAGTCAATACATATTTTAATAGGAGGCAAAGGCTAAAATAATGCTCTGCCATCCATTCTTCCTGCTCCTCTTCAAAAGCCTTCACACTATGGTAAACCTATAACAAGAGAAATAAAATATTTTCTATACTTATCTTTAATTGAGTATTTGAGGGTTCCCAAGAAATATGCGTATGCATTTAGAGTTTGTACCCACACTTCCCCCGCATTTGGTTAGTGGCTATGACCACAGGCACATCCTCAGAATAATCCTTCTTGACATTCTGAAAATCATATGCAGATAAGAAAGATTATAAATTCAACCACCTCTATCATATAATGTCATGACAACACACACATTTAATGAATAGCCTCAAAATGAATGGCTAAATTTCATGCCCCCACAGTCCTGTGTGAAAGAATAAGGAATTAATTCCTCTAAGAGGGAGCTAAACCTCCAAGGCACATTTCAAAGCCACTTTCAATGACCATAATTTGTGAGATTCCTTCAGTTATGAATAAATAACAATAGCTTCCCATTTCCAAAGTCAAATCTTGATGTTTTTAATTCTTCTACCCCACCCTCCCAAAAAGACAGAAATACTGAATCGATGAAATGTGTAAAATTTTAAAACTCAGAACTTTGCTACACACTCTGTTTTCCTCTGTGAAATATTTATTCCATACATAAAAGTTTTCTTGTGAGATTTAAATATACTGAAACAATTATTTACAAAGGAAATACCTACTAACAATAAATTACCATCCATGAATGCTTCCTATTCTTAGTGATACTACTTGTAATATCTAGAATTATTGTATATTTTCTAGAAATACAATATTCTGTATAATATCTAGAAATATTGTATCAGTAAATCATCATACAGCTCTCTTATGCCAGGCTTATAGATAATACAATTTTTAGCTCCTCTACCAACAGAATTAATTGGTATATATTTATCTAAAAATAAGAATCTCCTTGTCATAAGATGGCAAATTTCAGCTTGTGTTATGTGGTATCTACATACCTAGTTGGGACTTGAATTATTGTGCTACTATGGTAGACTGTGAAGGCTAAACATGTACCTCTTTACTCAATTTTACTTACATTAAAGACCCTTAAAAGGCAAATAAAAAATCTAATTATAACCATAATACAAATGGTTATACAAATACAATATGTGAAATCTTTTCACATATTCTTCTATATGTGAAGTTTCTAGAGCTCCTGGACTCATTGGTTCTCAAAATATAGTGTGCACTAAAATCACTGTAGGAGCTTAGATGTAGGCCCCTCTCTCCAGAGATCAAATCAGCAGGCCAATGATAAGGCCCAGGACACTTCGTGGTCAAAGAGATTTGTTGGATGATTCTGGTGTCGAGACTCTGAGACTCAACAATTCTGGGATATAAAACTTCAGGTTCAGGATCCAGAGAAACCTGGGAAAAATTATTTAGAGATAATACTTTGATCTTTCTTTCATTATAGTTCAGTCTTACATAATATTTTGCATAAAATCAAAGATAATTGATCATGAACCTTAAGTTAAACTCAATAAAAATATAGATACTTCAAACAAGTGTTATGTAGAAGGTTGGCTTGCAAAAACTAAGTGGGTTATGCCTCTGAATAATATGGATGCTTTGAAGCAAAGAAGAAGAGGAGGAAGAAAAGGAAGAAGCAACCTCAGAAGAATCATCATTAGATGTGAACGTAGCCATGGAAATCTCCACTAGGGATAATGACATAAAATAGATGTCGAAATTAAACAAAAGCAACAATTAAAAAAGGAGCAGGCCGGGCTAGGTGGCTCACGCCTGTAATCCCAGCACTTTGAGAGACCAAGGCAGGCAGATCACGAGTTCAGGAGATTAAGACTATCCTGGCTAACATGGAGGAAACCCGTCTCTACTAAAAATACAAAAAATTAGCCGGGCGTGGTGGTGGGTACCTGTAGTCCCAGCTACTTGGGAGGCTGAGGCAGGAGAATGAAGTGAATACAGGAGGCGGAGCTTGGAGTGAGCCGAGATCGTGCCACTGCACTCCAACCTGGGCGACAGAGCAAGACTCCGTTTCAAACAAACAAATAAATAAAAATAAATAAAGGAACAATGTGAAGTCAGTATAACTAAGAAAAAAATTAAAGTAATTGGTAAATACAAGTATTAAGAACTCAAATACTGTATAAGTTGTTACTAAAAATTCATTATATGATGAAAAATTTAGAGAAATCTTTTTAATCTTGTATCTTAAGCCTAATCAAACCTATAAAAATTATGTACATTGTGACTAATCACATTGTTTTCAAGTATAAACTGAGCAACACATTCATGGAAAAGACTAGGTGCTAGTAAAATGTCTTGTGGCAAGGTGATAATATATTCTTAGTGGGTATAGTTTAGAAGATCAGAAGAGAGCAATACACAATTACAAGCAACAAAAAATGTGAAAAGCTTCATGGTGGTTCTGACCAATTATTTGTGTTCTTGTAAAGTTAGGTACAATGTAAAGAGTGATCACAATCATAATTAATGTGTCCAATTTTTGTGGTTCTTTGTATTTGAGATGTTTTGTTGTTTCTTCTGATTTTCTGGTTTCTCCTCTATATTATAATATATTAGTAGAAAAAATACTGTTTTTTTATTATGAAATTTTGCTGCTGTATCATACCATCTTTAGCTACTTTACATACTGCTTTAATACATCAGTGAGGTGAGTTAGGTAGACATCTACCAAGATATTTGCTTGATAAATTGACTCCAAACATGGATGCTATCATCAGGTGGACTGTGCTTAAAACTGGATATCACCAACAGATACATATGCTCTGCCCTTAGCAAGCTGTGATGTAATTTTGGACATTGGCACTTAAGATATTCTTTCCTTAGCAAAATCTTCTCACCTGCATTTCTTGACCATTCTCAACTCTCAGCTTGACATGAGAATTCATACTTGGTAGTGAATACTTAACAGTGGCCAGTAAAAAGCTAATTTCATTTTAAATATTTTGTAATTTTTCAGTTCCATTCTCTGTCTGAGTCTTGTCATTTTCTGATTAGCAAAGAACATAAAATAAGTTATGTAGAAAACACTATATTGAGCTATAAATTTTCAGTATTATCTTGTCCTCAGACTCAAATTATTCATATTTAAATTGATGGGCAATGTTTATTATATTTATTGTCAAATTAAGATCAAACTTGCCTTCAATAATTTTAGCAAAGATTTATTAAGTGCATTCTAGTTTCCAGAAATGGTTTCTGCATTCTGGATATGTAGCAATGTACAAATAACCCTGATAGATAAAGACAAAGCTTATATTCAATAGAATATTAAAAAAAACAGACAACAAATAAACAAATGTTTGATATATCAGATGTATATGAGGGATAAACAGAAAAATAACACATGGTAATGTGGCTGTGCATTGTGTTATATAGGGCAGCGAGGAAAGATCTCTATGAGAAGATGGTTTCAGAGCAAAGATCTTGCTCTACTTAGTGATGATCATTACTCTTATTGTATTTTGAGTGGTATACTTTTCCCGGATAGTCCCCTTACATTGCTCATCAGTACTCTTTAGGTTTAAAACAAAGAGGAAGCTGTAAATAAAGATAAAATACCCAAAGAAACAAACAATCCACATGCCTGAGGGATGAATCCATCCCATCTGACCGAAGAGTTTCAAGTCAGTTACACAGGTATTGTGAAACTGAAACTCACTCTCCTGAATGGTTGGTCATAGCTCAGGTCCAATTTTTCTCATAGGTACAATTTAACCAGCAGTTGGAAATTTCAGTGAGTATGCATTTCTTTCTAAGCTGTTGACTTTATTAAGGGAGATCAGATACAGTTCTGTCATAGCAAGGCTTCAAATTACAACTCTGGATCCCTCAAGAACAATATCGCAGGCTCTCAGGTCTGTTCTGGCCCCTGTTCCCCTGTGAGCCATACAGCTTCAACTCCATTTTACTGCCACAGCTAGGAATCCCTTTAAGTGCCTGAAGATTTCCCCTTCTCCTCTCCTTTTCTCTTTTTTTACAGTTATATCTTCTCTTTGATATATATTTTAATTTCAATGCTGTATGTTTGAACTTTTAAGTATGAAACTTGGTAGGGATGGAGGCATGTTCTCGATTCTACTCAGCATCCCATCAGAAGTCTCCTTCATTAGAAGTTAAAGAGTTTGCAAAGTGTTTTCTGTGTGCTAAATCCCAACCTTAAAACAATTCATAAGAATAACGAAGTATATGTAATATATTTGAAGTACTTTAAATATTCATTTCGACCATTTAATTTATAGTGACAAATACTACCTTACTAGTTGGAAAGTACCTCAGTCGGTACCCAACATGTAAGACAACAGTCAAGTGTGTATTACTGCTGAAAACGAAAAAAAGTAATCTTAAGGATCAAAGTTTGGACAGGCCAATATTCATATTTGGCCTCCCTCCTTCCCTGCTAAATGTAAGGCTTAATTGGAGGGATATAACATACTGGCTTACTATCAAGGACATATTGGGTCATTGAAAATACACTTCAAAAGGCCAAACAAAACAAAGTCATTGTAGGACTTTCAGACAAAATCTGAAAGCCCACTGTGTAGGCTTCAGACAAAGACCTCAAGAGATTTAAGTTATGCTGCAAGTTACACAACCCTCAACTACAAACATTTATACATCATGGTTATAAAATCCTCTCCTACTAAAGATCTTATGGAGCCTGCAGAAATACCTCCTTAAAAATATAAGAAACACATTGATTTAAGAATATTTTTTCCACTGGCTAGGTAGCAAGAAAAGTTTTCCTTTGAAGGGAATAAACAGACTTTCATTTTTAAGGATAAAGAAACACTCTAAGCTCTTCTAAAATTCCCTATCACACTGACATATTAAAATGATCAGAACCAAGAATGTGCACTAAGTTCAAATGGAGAGTTATTTACTACTAAATCCAACAAATTTCACACTACAGTAGTTCCTCAGTATCTGAGGGGGATTGATTCCAGGAACCCCCAACAAAATGGAATCATATTTGAATATAACCTACAAACATCCTCCCATATATGTACTTTAAATTATCTCTAGAAACTCATGATACCGAATTTAATGTAAATGTTACATAAGTAATTGTTATACTATATTGTTTCTTATTTAAATTATTTTTATGGTTTTTAATTTTATTTTTAAAGTATTTTTAATCCACAGTTTGTTGAATCTGAGAATTCACAATCAGTGGATGCAGAGTGTCAATTGTACATGTTTGTTATATTTTCCAAGGTAAGTGGAAATCTATTTAAAATTATATCACCAATTTTATATATATTTCATCAAAGTGTGCTAAAAATACATTCTATAAATCCTTGAAATAGATCTATTTACTGTGCTGCTTTAATTCTTTTTTAACCATCTGTCACTTTTGTTTTGTGAGTTTATTTGTGTAAATATAATTATTATTTTTTAAACATAAGAAAAATTTCAGTTGAGTAGCTTATCTCTCCACCCTTACCCCTTCTAGAATTAATGTCTACATTGCAAAAGAAATATCTCCTTAAGATGTTTTGTGAAACTATGAATTAAATAAAGAAAGCTATCAGGAAATTTATCTCCACCAAAGTTAATGAGACATAAGTTTATCGTTGAGATTGTTGTGCTTATATTTCATCTTTACTTATTTAGCTAGAATTTCCAGTTTCTACATACTTACATTTCAGGTCAAACAGAACCTCAAAAATGTTTTTGGCCCAATTCACACTTTGAGAAATCCAAGCTAATTCCCAATTATAGAATCTCACTCTCCTAAACTTCTTGGCATTTAATTTCTCTAGAATAAGCAGATAAGCACAAGTTGAGTGTAAACAATTTATTATTGTACTGGGCCTCATTTTGCTTGCCAGAAGATGGAGTGGATGAGAAATGTACCCCTTTGGAATGGGCTCAGAGAATGAGGATATTCATATTCCTTTTAAAAGCTTATTTTTAAATCCCCTCTGTATTAGAGATTCTTAACAATCAAAGGGATAAAATGATCTACTCCATAAATGAAGAATCAGTACTCTTGCCATCCAGCTCAGTGCATGTTTTATGGGCTCTTAAAAGTGTCCAAGATGGCAGAGATGTGGGTTTTTAAGGGATTTCTACTCACTGGGACTGACCTGACTACTCTGATTTACAGTGTATATTTCCAGCAGTGAAAAATAAGTTAAAAAAAAAAACTTACAGTCTCGATATGGCACCATGTCTTTAAGAGACCATTCTGAAGGCAAGCTACTATCCTACGTATTAATACCTTTTATATTAAAAGTTGAAGTTAGTTTTCTTTCCTAAAATAGACCTTATTCTGGCAATGATGTACTTCATCTGCCTCTAAATGCTTTTGTCGGCACCTCTACTAATGAATTTACTAGATACCTCATATGCTCTCCTGTTCTCTTATATAATTTTGACTTCACTCAGATAGATTTTCCAATGGAAAAACTGAAGCAACACCCTTATCCCCTTTGGATTCTCTAGTACTGTCTACTTTATCATCTAAATAAAGTTAATGTATTAGTCTGTTCTCACACTGCTAAATAAAACATACCCAAGACTGGGTAATTTAAAAAGAAAAGAGGTTTAATTGACTCAAAGTTCATCATGGCTGGGGAGGCCTCAGGAAACTTACATTCATGGTGAAAGGGGAAGCAAACACATCCTTCTTCATATGGCTGAAGCAAGGAGAAGCTCCAAGCAAAAGGAGGAAAAGCCCCTTATAAAACCATCAGATCTTGTGAGAACTCACTATCACAAGAAGAGTAGGATAGGAGTAACTGCCCCATGATTCAATTACCCTCCCATGACACAGGATTATGGGAGCTACAATTCAAGATGAGATTTGGGTGGGGACACAGCCAAACCATATCAGTTAATTTTACTAAATTGTGTAATGACACAAATTTATCCATTGTGATTTGATTCAAATGACAATTAACAATGCAGTTTTTCCTATAGATAGAATGAATGGGTCCCAGAACCAATGTTTGGGGTTGGTGGTGACTTCAGGTTTATACTCAAATATATACCTCCATAATATTGTTAATTTTTCCAAGGACCTCAGATTCTACAGATTTTTAGATTTTTATTGTCCAAGACATAAACACTTTCTACTAGTGGACCCAACAATAGCTCCAATGGTTAGGGATCTAAGAGCTGGTCACTACGTGCTATGTGCAACACTAAACAATAGGGAGAAAAAGATATTTCATTGTTGGTTGGTGATATGGTTTGGCTGTGTCCCCACCCAAATCTCATCTTGAATTGTAGTTCTCATAAGTGGAGATAATTAAATCATGGGGCAGTTCTCCCATCCTGTTCTTGTCATAGTGAATTTGTCCCCATGAGATCTGATGGTTTTATAAGGGGCTTCCCCCTTCACTGGAGTCTCATTCTTCTTCTCCTTGCTGCCACCATGTCAAGAAAGACGTGTTTGCTCCCCCTTCTGCCATGCTTGTAAGTTTCCTAAGGCCTCCCAGCCGTGCTGAACTGTGAGTCAATTGAACCTCTTTCCTTTATAAATTACCCAGTCTCAGGTATGTTTTTATTAGCAGCATGAGAATGAACTAATACAGATGGAGTATTTTGTAGTAATGAAACAGTAATAAAGAACAGTAAGATAACTACCATTAGGTAGAAACCTAGAAAAGTACAGTTGGAACCCAGGTGACCGGGATGCCGTCTTTTCTGTACAATGTCCAATGTTATAGTTAGATTACAAAGATTACTTTGAAAAGGTTTGGTTCACACTCTCAGTGAAAAAGCATAAATAAACTTATAGACCTGGTTCAGAAAGTTGTTACCTCTGCCACAATCAGTGAGGTAGGGAAATCAAGAAACAGCATTTGAGATGATTATATTCAGGAACATAGGATTTTTTTTTTTTAATTATACTTTAAGTTCTAGGGTACCTGTGCACAACATGCAGGTTTGTTACATATGTATACATGTGCCATGTTTGTGTGCTGCACCCATTAACTCATCATTTACATTAGGTATGTCTCCTAATGCTTTCCCTCCCCGCTCCCCCTATCCCACAACAGGCCCCAGTATGTGATGTTCCCCTTCCTGTGTCCATGTGTTCTCATCGTTCAATTCCCTTAACTTCAATTTAGATAAACAGAAACTACTATCATTCCTGCAACTGTTGATGCAACAACAATGTCAACTGCTGAATCTGCGAGGGTAATCAATCAAGGAACACATGAACCTCCCCTTTGCATGCTGACACTAGAAAACACAGCATCTCCATGACTGACATGAACAGCATGTCAGGAGAACCAGTAGAAAGGCATTTCCAACTCAATTTTACCTTTTAAACTTCACGCAAGATTGGCATTTCACACAAGTGCTACAATTGGTGGAAATTAAATCATAACCCAAAACCTAGTTACAAGGTCATCTGAGAAGTGAATTTGGTTTGTTAGTTGGTTGTTTGAATGTTTGTTGGGTGGGTTGTTTTTTTTTTTCAGACTCTGGAGGAAGCTAACGCCCAAAAGTGGCTTAATGAATGTATTGATCTATACCATATGAAAAAAATCAATTATAGCTTGGGAACCAGTTGCAGAAAAAAGATTCATACCTTCACTTCATAATCCAAATATATTTTTAATTATGCGTGGCACTGATTTTCAACTAATCTTATTTCTACTAGTATATAAAGTGTATTTTAGGTAGATAAATTTATGTCTACAGTTTATAGACTATTACATTGCATTACAACATACCGTAAGAAAATCACCCAAGGCATCACCCAAGGTGAAGGGATTGTCAATGGATTTAGGCTGTCACCCTGTAGAAATAAGATAAGCAGAGTGCATTTATGGGTGTGTGTATACATGCAGGCACAATAAAACAATTATATAAATTGGGGAGAGTGGGAGCATTTTAAAATTTTAAAACTGTAGTGAGGAAAAGAGTTATTTCTGTGTGAGTGTATTTTTTAATTGTAAACAAACAAGGGGTGGATATAATAGATATCTGTGGTTCCAACCAGTCTCTCATATCCCTGTTTTTTAAAAAAAATTTTCTTCTTTTCCTTTGTGGAGTAATTTTCATACCCCCTGTGTTATTTATGGAACTGTACATCAGAGATCTACCACTCTGCATGCTCCTTCCCTTTTCCCTTGCAGAGTGCATGTGACCCAAGTAGACCAATCATACTCTTCCTCTCAGAAAATTGAATCTTGAGCAGAATAACATGTGGATGAAAGGCAGATGAAATTTTCAAAGGAGATTATCATTATTGTGGAAAATATTAAGAAAAGTCTATGGATTCCATGATTCCTATGCTTTACTCCATAGCTTTCTCTTTCTCTTTATTTCTGTATCAAAGTGTTCTTCTAATATATTCATTTATCCTCAGTTATTAGACTGATTCATACAATAATGAAATATCATTGATCAATTAATAATCGTTACAACCAAACATATACCCTGAGAAGTATGTTAAAAATTTCACATACTTCCTCACATTTAATATTTGCAACAATTTGTAAAATAAATATTATAATTTTACAGACTGGGAAATGAAAACTTTAGAGAATCTAAGTAACTTGAGTAAAAAATCAAACTAGACACTAGCAGAGACAGGATAGAAGCCTATGGCTCTGTGACACAAAAACTGTGCTCTTTAATAATTACACACACACACAAGGTCATGTTTAGAGCTGCCTTGCCCTTCCTTGCTATAACAAAACTGCTATAAAAATACCATTGAGTTGGCAGCTTGTAAACAAACAAGCAAATAAACTATATATATTTCATATATGTATGTTTATATATCAGTATATGTGTATATTTATATATACATTTATATATAAATACATATTTCATATATATTGTTTGTTTTCCTGTGTGTGTATATATATTGTGTACACACACACACACACACACACACACACACACACATTTCTTTCAGCTTTAAAGGTTGTGGATTCCAACATCAAGGTGCTGGCAGATTTGGTGTCTGACAAGAGCCCATTTCATGGTTCATAGATGAAACCTTCTAGCTACATCCTCACTTGGTGAATTTATAAGGGCACTAACCCCATATATATGAAAGTTCCACCTTTAGGTCACCTAATCATCTCAGGTGACCTAATCACCTCCCAAATGCCCCATCTGCTAACATCATCACAACCACATTGGCAATTAGTTTTTAGCTTATCAATTTTTGGTGGGACACAAACATTCACATAATTATATTCATATAAATATGTTTATTAGTAGTAAAAATATATTAATACTTTCATAAAACCAACACTGTATCTTTATGCCTGCTATTTTCCTACACAGGATATAGGAGATTATTAAACACTGAACCACAACTAGAATTGGGTCGTTTGATAGAGACAAAGGCAAAGCAAAAAGGACATTTTCACCTTCTACTTTCTATGAAAAGAGGCTTAGGCATCTAAAGTTTGGGCTGTTAGGAAAAGATCAGCAAGACATGTTAAATGCTTTACTCAGTGGAAACACTAGTACTCAGGAAAAGGTAAACACACATATTTACATTAAATGTATCTTATTACACACTAATATTTTCTAATGAGAATCAGAATTCTTAGCAGCAATATGTGTGCTGAGAAAAAGCTGTAAGAACAGGAAAATATTGGCTGTCAAGTGATGAAATGAGAATTCTATGCTATATATAACATGCCTTAAGGATGCTACCTATCCCAGTCTGGATAGAACTATTCTAAACAAAATCTATTTCAACAAGTAAGATTAACATCTTGTGACCTATTGTGACCATATTAAACAAGTTTTGAATATTAAACAGTTCTTTCCCAAATTGTCTGTGTATCATAATCAGATATGACTTTGTCACTCCCCAGGCCTACTGAATAGAATGCAAGAGACTGGTGTTCTGGCATTTGTATTCTGAGGAATAAAAATGGGATTCAGATGGTCAATTAGTATTGATATATGTTACATGATAGTGATGAGTGAAGAGTCAGATTTGAAGCTAGTCCTGGATGTGCTTGCTCCAAGAAAACTGTGTGGTCGTAAGTAAGTTATTAAAATTATTCAGGCTATGTTGGTAGAATTAGGTAGCGTGGGTAAATATTCACCAAAGGTATACTTTGCCTTTCTCATAATAAATTATTGAATTATAACAAGTCTGCTATAGCACTAGTATACCAAAAATGATTTTTTAGGGTTGCCATAGAGATAACGTCATCCATATTTATTTGGTTAGTATGTTTTCTTGTTTTTTGTTTTTTTTTTAAAGCATCTTATTTTCTTCAGAATTCATATGTGTGAACTTGTATTTGTGTTCATAAATTTAACAATAATACCTATTCTAAAGTATACCATCTACATAAGATCACTGAGTTTAGGGGAGAAATTATAAGACAGGTGCCAAAAGATTAATTTAGATGTGTCTCAGCCTTATGTTGCTCACTTAACAGTTACAGATAGTATTACAGAATTAGACCTTGCTTGAACTTTAGTTTTAGTTTATTTCTTTGCTACAGCAAAGTACAAATGCCAAAAGCATCATTTGGGAAGCACAGCAGGGATCAGGGAGAGTGGGCGGCTGCATTGTCTTTCTTCTCTCATACTGAAAAACTTATTTTGAAATGCTGATGGAAAATTCAGATTGTAGTTTGCCAAAAAAAAAAGAACAAACTGTATTTTCACAAAAGTCTTTCTTTGTCTCTACATTTCACAGGGAAAAATCATTTTGTTATGAAACTAATAATTAAGGCTAAATTCCCTAGCTCAATGTAGGGTAATATTATGGGTTTTTTTGTATCTGGAAAATAAAATGGCAGCTTTTATAGTATTCTGGACATAGGAACTGAGAGGCTTGTATACATTAAAATACAATAACAACTTTATAATATTTATTATAAAAGGCAATATGACCTTTTTTGGTTTTATTTGAATTAATCATTTTTATATGCTTGTGGTGTTTACCTAGATAGAACTTCAACTTATTTGCAGAACATTAAAATCTATGTAGAAAATATAACATATGTTAATTATTTTTCTGTTGAAGAAAAATAATGGGTAGACTTCTAATAATTAAATGAAAAAGCTCCCTAGAAGTTTGGTTAATTGTTTATCTATGCCCATATTTCACAACTAAAAATGCAAATTACTCACAACAGCTGTAAGTAAAATGTAGGCTTCAAATAGTCACGTGGAATTCGGGGAATTGAAGAATGCTTAGATAGTTTGTAAAACCAGCTTATTAAACAGTTAAGTTACTTCTTCAGAGGGACACAATAGATGTTGTAAAAGCTGAAGGTGGAATGTCACTTCCAGGTTTATTTCAATTCAGTGTCAGTTCCTGGATGATTTCCTTTACTCTTGGCCTATTATTAAAGAATAAAGAAGAGGAAACAGATGTTGGGAAACAAAGACTAATAAATGCAACCGAAGAAAATAATTCAGATGAAAATATACATCAAAGGCTGAATTGGCTTTCACCATATGGAGATTAGACAAAATGTCCAGACTTTCCTTCTCCTGAAAAGGAGATGCAAAAGGCTCATAGGAATCATGTCAATAACATTGTCATCACCACCAAATGGATCTCAGCTTTCTTCAATTTTTTTCAGGTCTACAATTTTAGTTCTGACTTTTCTGTTCTCTCTTCAACTCACTGCAGTTTGGCTTTAGCCTCCCATTTCACAGAAAGTTCTTCTGTTAAGTTTTTAATGATCTTGATGCCTTTAAAATGAAGGACAAATTTTATCCTTACCTTATCTGACACCTTAACTGTGGATATATGTTGCTGCTATCTTCTTCTGGAAATATTATTTCCTTTAGTATTTGCTTATGATTTGCCTCCAATATGTCTGACCTTTCTTCCATCTCCTTTGTTGACTACTCTCCTATCCCCAGGACTTTACATAATGGAGTGCATCAAAGTTCATTCATAATCTATTTTTGCTTTCCCTATACTCTCTTTAGGAGACCCAATACATTCCATGGTTTCAGTTTTATTCCCTACATAAAACATAGAAAGATGTTACATTATACCAAACCACTCTTCCGTGTATGAGAAATCTAGTATCTAACCTTCATTTGTGATATACATGTAGATGTCTCCAAGGCCCTTTGGTGTTCACTGTCCAAAAGTAAACTTATGATCCTCTTCCTTGGACACAAATTGCAAAATGACATTCAGCTGGTATATCCCTAGCATTATTCAAAAGAAACTGTATCCAACACAAATGCAATTCCTATAAGCTCCATGAAAGTTATATTTAAGAAAATAATTCTATCAAATTCCCTTTAACAAATCTCTATTCCAAGCCACTACCAATCTTATATTGGTTTCTCAAAAAGCCTTGTCTGCAAAAAAAGAAATAATCCTCTGTGTTGTAAGTATAACATATAACATTGTATAACATTGTATGTAAATATCACTTATAATTAATTAATGGGTAACTCATTATTTGTTTAACAAATCCTGAATTTATAGCAATGAAATACAGAAGATCAGGCCCCAGTCTCATGCAATTTATAGTCTAATGGGAGGGAAATTATTAGTAGTTCTGTGTGCAGCTAAGATGATGTGACATAGCAATTAAACTTTATGTAGAAAATTAATCAGACAAATGTATACAAGTTGTCATGAAACTTGGTTCTTCTCTAGCTTGAATGTGGGAACAGGTCTTTAAGGAGGCAATGTTTCTGGCATAACTAAAAGGATGAAAAGATCCAGGGAAGCAAAGACCAGAGAGAAGAACAACTGAAGCTAAGATGTAGAAGAACAACTGAAGCTAAGATGTAGAAGTTCAAGTGGCCTAGTGGAGCAGAACATAGCTGAGTGTGCATGCTCAGAAAAAAAAAATAATAATACAAGAGTGGACAGAAAGTGATAAGGAGAGAGTTTGTGTGGGGGAGGGCAGTAAACCAAATAAAGTATGGGGGATTGAAAGAAGCAATAACTCATCTAAGGTCTTTATCTGTGGAAAGTTTGTATGTTATTCTAAGTATAATGAGAAGCCATTGGAAGTGAGGAGTTTAAGAAGGTCAATGATGTGACTTGATTTACCTATTTATTTATTTATGTATTTATTTATTTTTATTATATTTTATATTCTAGGGTACATGTGCACAACGTTCAGGTTTGTTACATATGTATACATGTGCCATGATGGTGTGTTGCACCCATTAACTCGTCATTTACATTAGGTATTTCTCCTAATTCTATCCCTCCTCCCTTCCCCCCACCCCACAACAGGCCCTGGTGTGTGATGTTCCCCTTCCTGTGTCCCAAGTGTTCTCATTGTTCAATTCCCACCTGTAAGTGAGAATATGCCGTGTTTGGTTTTTTCCTTGTGATAGTTTGCTGAGAATGATGGTTTCTAGCTTCATCCATATCCCTATTTAAATGCTTATTCTAGTCAGTTAGGGAAAGAATGTGCTATAAGATGTAAAGCAGTTAAAGACCATGACCTCCACCTTATGAAGAAGCCGAGCTACAGTAAAAATTAAACCACTAGTCAGAGAAAAGAAAAATGAAAGACAGTAATTGTTCTTCATTAGTTTTAGATGAGTAACAAATTACCTCAAATCTTAAGTTAAAAAACACATTTGTTATTTGTAGTTCCTCCGCATCAAGAATCTGGCAAATTTATCTTGGACCTCTTCTTCACGGTGTCTCACAGGCTGCAAGCAAGTTGTTGGCTGGGTTTTGGCCATCTCAAATCTCAACTGGGTAAAGATTTGCTTCCAATATCACACAGTTAATGGCAGGATTCGGTTCTTCACAAGTCATTGAACTGAAGACCTCAATTATTTGCTATTGGCCACAGGCTGCCCTCGGTTTATTGCCACATGGGCTTCTCCAGCAAGGCAAAAACACACATGCTGAGAAGGCAATAGAGAGAGCCTACTAGCAAGACAGAAGTCTTTTAAAACCTAATCGTGGAAAATGACATTCCGCAACTTTTGCTATATTCTGCTTATTAGAAAAGAGGCAGGAATACCAGGAGATAGGGATCATTGGAACTGATATTAAATGACTATCAAAGTTCACCCTCTGGCCTCTAACGATTTTTTATTTCCCTACCAAATGTGAAATAACTCCTCTCAAGGTTCTCAGACGTCTCATTCCATTATAACATCAACTTGAAGTATAGAATCCTCATCGTTAAAATCAGCTCTCACTCTTTGTTCAGTGTCTCTCAACCTGTGACCTGTGACTATTCAGACCAGCCCCATGACACCTATTTATGCCATATGGAGAAAAGCACCACCTAGAAAAGCCTTCCCAAATTCCTGAACCTCAAGTGTGCAGAATTTAATAAAATGGTTGTTTTTTAAGTAGCTAGATTTTGTGGCATTTTGTGATATAGGATTAGAAAACCAGAAAAATTTCCTAGGAGTTCCTGGAACACAGAAGTGCAGGACCACAAAATATACTTCACAATAGGAAAGTGGCAAAAGTCTTGAAGCAAAATATTCTTATCTTTCATGATCAGATGTCTAGAGCATTTCCTCTGGGAAGTAGATTTTGAAGGCCTAACAGCACACTGGGCAGGTGCAATCACTGACATTGCTCGCAGAAGGCTTCTCAATATGGCGCACACAGGTAAAGCTATTCAGAGGCTGAAAAGAAAGTAATTCTGTCAACCACTCACATGAAATCCATTATTTCTGTACACATCAAGGTAGTGGAAGAGACATTGTTTTTTCATTTCCCGTTCTCCCCAACCTTCTCATACAGAGTGGGTAACAAGTAAATAATATTTAGCAGCTCATTGTTTCTGAAGTCAAACAGGGCCCTGGATGTTACTGAAGCTCCTATAACATTTCACTGTTTAGGAGAAACATCAGATGCCTCAAGGTCTAAAGTTGGTTGAATTGGTTCAACATGGTTATGTCTTAGGAAGGCCACATACTTAGTTTACCAAGTCTGTAGACACAAATAGTCAACTTTGGTTTATGAAGCTTTGCCTGAGCAAGAACTAGCTGTTTGTTTTTGGTTTTGTTTTTTTCAGAAAAAAAAAAATCCTTGGACTAACTGCTGAGTAAAATTTGCTTTAGTTAAGGAAACAAAATGTACCACTGAAGGTTAGCAGATAGGAGCAGTAGGATTATCAGCCTGGTACTAAGGAAATTTAACAATGTTCATGGTTGTGGCAGGATTTTTTATGGTAGGATTTTATGGTAGGATTTTGACTCATAGGGAAGGTCTTTAACATAAATGTTTTCTATGTTAAGGGCTTAGTCTTGAGACCATCTCCCCCAATATACGCACAGACTCTCTCTCTCCATTTCTCTCTCTCTCTCTCTGTTTCTCTCTCTCTCTCTCTTACTCTGTCTCTCTCCATACTCACTCTCTAGCTGCTATCATACAGTCTTATTATCCTAAAGATCTTTCTGTTGATAAAACTCAGATTTTTCTTTCTAGTTTCTACCTATTGAATAATACAATATTCATATTTCTACCTGCTTACATCTTCTCTTGGATTTCCAATTTACATCTCAAACTTTACATATCTAAAACAAAATATTTTAGTTTTCTTCCTCCTAACTCAAATCCTCTCTCATTGATTCCCAATTTCATATGAGATGCCTCCATTTACTCACCTAGCTGCATAGACAAAAACGTTGAAATTACATTGGCCCCTCTCTTTTTCTCACATCCCATGTCCATCCATCAGATAATCATGTTCACTATATCTTCAAATTTATCCTAAATCTGATTACTTGACTTCATCCACAGCAACCCCTCTAATTCATGCCACCATATTCTTCAAATGAATATTGAAGTAGCCTTCTGACTCGTCTCTCTCCTATTATTGCAGCCTTATAATCTAAACTACTGTGATACTTTCAATGTAAATCTGATTATGTTAAATTTCGGAGTTCAAAAATGTATGCTTTCTATTCCTAACACATTAGGTTAAAGTCTTTCACGTGTAGATGTTGTCTCTGGTCTCCTCTCCTGCTTTAGCTGCATTGCTGGTATTCATCACCAGTCAAACCACTTCAATAAGCCTTATCTTCATCATGATCATAAGCATTGTTTGAATGCAGATGCATTGCCAAAGATACTTTCTAGTCATTTCTAAAGTTATTGATAATTGTTAATTGCAGCCTCCTTTCCAATGCTGTGATACTATTTATCCCTTCCCTCTGTCCTTGCTCAGAGCTTTCATTCAGTTCCCACATATTTCCCTTTATGTCAGGTCCCCCACTTGAACCCCCTCCACTATGGGCACATTGCACCTGAGCTTGAGGTTCCTTGAAAAGTCTTTTGGTAATAACAGAAGGCAAGTATAGTTCAATACAATGTCAGGGGAATTGGTGCTATATTTTATTAACAATATTCTCAGACTTGGAAGGTTTGCCTGCTTTGAAGAGAAATATGAAAGGTAATGTGATGAACTGACTTCCTACTGTCGAGTTTACAAAGCTCCTTTTGTTTGTAACTTATTGTTACTTTCAGTCTTTATGTTTCAAAGGTTTTAGATTGCTCCTTAGAGTTTGGAATTTATCTGTTCAGAACATTACAATGTCATAAAAAAAGGGGGAAATATCCCCAAGTTCAAACTTCTATTTTCTATAATAAAGGCACAAAAATCCCACAGAACTCATTCTTCATGGTAGAATTGTGTGCCCCACAAGCTGAGACTAAGGACAAAGAAGTGCATACATCTCCTCTCCCTCCGTTCCCAGCAGTTTTCATTTTCAAGCAACCACTACAAAGTTCTTTTTCTAGTTACCAGAATGAATACAGAAAAGATTTAATGCTTTGGGGCATTTCTGTATAAAAAAGAAATCATATCACCTGAATAACTAATGCAGACTTTACTGTGATATTCAACTTTATGATTCTAGTATAGACAGAAAGAAAACAGATAAATTACACTTGAATACATACCAAAATATATTCGACACTTCAACCTATAAAGTAATTTTTCAAATGAAAACAAAAACTGTATATGTCTTTTCACATGTCAGGGGAGCCTGATTTATGACCATTTCTATGTTTATTCATACCAAAATAAAACCAACAAAAAACATCCCACAAAATGTATCACCACCACCACTTCTCATGTGCTACAGTGACAGCTCCTGATTTTTATCTGTATCTTCATATAATTATACTGATCTCTAATTAGAAAACAATTATAAAGCATCAATTTCTATAGTTCAGGAATCTAAAGTACTTGGAAACTTTTGAATGCACATAGTCCATGTGAGCACTTAACTAATACCAGAGTACTTTATGGAGTAATTATTACTAGTAAATTCCCTTTGATTAAGAATACCCATCTTTTCAGAGGACTTTCCATAATAATTATTTCAAAAGAAAAAGGAAAAAAACTTTCTTTAATTGCATTTAAAAAGCAGCTATTTACTTTTATTATTGTATACATGTTCAAGTTGTTAAAATCTAACAGCTCTAAAAACAAGAAAAAAATCCGAACATGAGTATGTAAAAGAGCCACTATGTACAGTCATTTTATTTAAAGCTTCCCATCATATACTTAAATCATGATTTCTCAATTGCAAAGGGTAAAATAATACATAGATACACATTTTAACTTTCCTCTATTTGTCAATGACAGCAGTAGTGTTGTGGAAAGAATCTGATTTGAGAAAGTGAGTTTGAAATCTGCTTTGCAGCTTACTGCTCAATGATACTAGGCAATCTAGTTGGCCAATTGCAGTCTCAGTTGCAGTACAGAAACAACTTCTTTTAAAAATATGCTACGGGAAGGAAGATATTTAAACATGTGTCTCTGGATTTCAATTGTTATGACAGAACTAACATGTACAAACATCATTTTAAAATTATTATTATTTTACTTTAAGTTATGGGATACATGTGCAGAACGTGCAGGTTTGTTACATAGGTATACATGTGCCATGGTGGTTTGCTGCACCCATCAACCTGTCATCTACATTAAGTATTTTTCCTAATGCTATCACTCCCCTAACCCCCCACCCACCAGACAGGCCCCAGTGTGTGATGTTCCCCTCCCTGTGTCTGTGTGTTCTCACTGTTCAACTCTCACTTATGAGTGAGAACATGTGGTGTTTGGTTTTCTGTTCCTGTGTTAGTTTGCTGAGAATGATGGTTTCCAGCTAAATCCATGTCTCTCCAAAGGACACAAACTCATCCTTTCTTATGGCTGCATAGTATTCCATGGTGTATATGTGCCACAATTTCTTTATCCAGTCTATCATTGATGGGCATTTGGTTGGTTCCAAGTCTTTGTTATTGTGAATAGTGCTGCAGTAAACATACCTGTGCATGTGTCTTTAGAGTAGAATGCTTTATAATCCTTTGGGTACATACCCAGTAATGGGATTATTGCGTCAAAATTTTCTGCAAGGTAGAGGTGCTGAATTAGTCAGCATTCTCTAGAGGGACAGAATTAATAGGATAGATGTATATATAAAGGGGAGTTTATTAAGGAATATTAATTCACACTATCACAAGGTGGGGTCCCACACTAGGCCATCTGTAAGCTGAGGAACAAGAAAGCCAGTCCAAGTCCCAAAGCTGAAGAACTTGGAGTCTGATGATCAAGGGTAGGAAGCATCCAGAACAGGAGAAAGATGTAGGCTTGGAGGCTAAGCCAGTCTAGTCTTTTCACGTTTTTCTGCCTGCTTTTATTCTGGCCATGCTGGCAGCTTATTAGATTGTGCCCACACACATTAAGGGTGGGTCTGCCTTTCCCAGCCCACTGACTTAAATGTTAATCTCCTTTGGCAACACCCTCACAGACACACCCAGGAACAATACTTTCCATCATTTAATCCAATCAAGTTGGCACTCAGTATTAACCACCACAGGTAACCAAAGATGGTATGGGTTGTCTCAAGAAGCAGTCAGGGTACATACCTACCTTAAGCTGATACTGAAGATCCCTTGGCAGAAATCCTGGAGAGGAGACCCAAGCATTGAAAGCTACACTGGACTATAATTTCTACTAATGCTAAGATTTATGACTTTCTGGCTTCTAATCTTCCTCAAATACCACTTCCATCAGAACACTTCGTTTTGCAAAAGCTCATTACTTTAAACCATATTGAATCAAGTTTCTTTGAATGATTGATATAGCTCATGATCTCCATTTAAATGTATTATCTCTCAAAAACGCTTTCTCCTCTAGCTGGAACAGGCTTGTTCCCCAAATACACCATAGTAATGTCTACCTACCTCCATTCTTTTTTTTTTTATTATTTCTTTTCAGTTTAGATGCCTGCTTACTATTTTGTTTTGGCTAATTCCTGCATTCTTCAAGAACTGTTTTTGTGTTTTAAACACTGTATTAGTCTGTTCTCAGGCTGCTAATGAAGACATATCTGAGACTGGGTAATTGATAAAGAAAAAAAGGTTTAATGAACTCACAGTTCCACGTGGCTGGGGAGGCCTCACAATCATGGCAGAAGGAAAAGGAGGAGCAAAGTCATGTCTTACGTGAGAAAGCTGCGCACAGGGGAGCTGCTCTTTGTAAAACCATCAGATCTAGTGAGACTTACTCACTATCATGAGAACAGCATGGCAAAGGCCTGCCCCCATGGCTCAATTACCTTTCACTGGGTCCCTCTCATGACACATGGGAATTATGGGAGCTACAATTCAAGATTTGGGCGGGGTCTCAGCCAAACCATATCAAATACCTCCTATTTACCCATTAGTGTGGGAAGATTCCTACCCTAAGGTTATAGGAATGGCTGAACACACGATAGCCAACTTGGACCGATGATATTGGCAGCAGTTTACTAGTCATATACTTCCAGCCTGGGGGAGGAGATCACACAGCAGGCAGGGACACACAGGGGCTGTACTCAGAAACAGGGTGAACAACCAGAGGCTGAAAAAGGCCAGCACTGTAGTATCAAGAGGGTGAGATGTTTCCCGGTTCCTGGAGAAGAATGTTTCCATGGGCTGGCAGGGAACTGAACCTGCTACTTTGTAATAAGCAAGAAATTTACCTCATCTGTTTGATAAGGAAGTTTGCTTGGCTAAGGTACCTATATCTATGCAGGAGCAGCGTGGAGAACAGAACTTGCCTTTTGAGGTCCTCCAGGTATCAAGACAGTACATAATACTGGATCTCTATTTTAGGCCTTATACCACAAGTATCTCTTGTGTTCCCAATAAATCCTTTTGATCAAATGAGATAAAGAACATGGATATAATTTTTAAATTACTAAACTAACTCGTTTTGTAATTTGAACAAGTTACAAGTTACTAGACAGGGAATTACTTACTTAATTTCCCTATTACAGCTTTCATTTATATCCCCCACCAAATAAACAGTAAAAATGTAAAACATTCTTTACATATGCATTCTTATTATGAATATGCTATTATGCTCTTGTTCTCTAGATTTTACATCTCTTATACTTTTATGTATAAAAGCCATACTTTTGATTTGCATTCTCTACTGTACAGCATTGAGGAGCTAGCAGTCATTTGACTGATTTCATCATTCCAAGGGAAAAAAACCTAACTAATAATTTTTAAAATACCTAGTGCATTGTAATAAACTTGTTCATTCATTTTCACTTAACGGAATAGATGCACTTCAAGAAATCTAGTTATAATATGGTTTCCCTTTCCTAGTGCCAGCTGTTATAAGATTGGAGATTTCTTTCCATGTAAAACTATGGCGTAACAGACTGTGTTAAACATCTCTAATGTGAAAGTGATTAAAATAATAGTCACATGAAATGCTGAAAAAGGAAGAATTATTAAACAATGTTATGGACTTTAAAAAAATTAAAATAATTGGAAATCAGCAAGGATTTATCACCAACAAGTGGCATCAAAATTGACTGACTTGCTTTTTAGCAGGTTTGCTGGTATTATTGATTTGGAAAATATCATATAGTATATTTTAACTTTGGTGAGGTATTTTACACAACTTTCTTAATATCCTTGAGGATCAGGAATAAATTTATAACTGGTAGAGGAGTACACAGAGCGTATTGATTCATGTCAAGTTGACTAGAGACCTGATAGTTTGATGAAAGATTGTGTCTTTGGTCCTGATCTGTACAAAAAAAAAAGTTTAATGACTAGAATAAGGCACAGAAGGTATAATCATCACATTTTTAATGACATATAGTTGGGAGAGATGACAAATGAAAGCATCAGATGCAAATCTATCTCAATAGGCTAGAAATCTTAGTCCAACAAAACAAGATTAAATTTAACAGGAATATTACAAATACATTTAGTTTAAGTTGAATTTAAATTCAGTTAAGTAATCAGTTGTGGAAATATAATATGGGCATAACTGGAAAAATATATATATTTAGCCACAAGGTTAATATGAAACTTCAGTGCTATAAAGTTAATATGATCAAAGTGTAGGGCCTGGATCAATGAAGCGAGACGGTGAGGCACACTGCTGCGCCAAGCTGCTCTGGTCACTTTTACAGGCTCCTCTGTTCTGAATGTCCAGAGAAGACTATGCTATGTCAACAATCTGACTAGGTAGAAGATCTCACTTGGCTTAAAGTGAGAGAAGTTAGAAGAAAGGAAAAACACAGTATATATATATATATATACACACACACACACACATATATACTTTTTTTTTTTTTTTTTTCTGATGGAGTCTCGCTCTGTCGCCCAGGCTGGAGTGCAGTGGTGCGATCTCGGCTCACTACAAGCTCCGCCCCCCGGGTTCACGCCATTCTCCTGCCTCAGCCTCCCGAGTAGCTGGGACTACAGGCGCCGCCACCGCGCCCGGCTAATTTTTTTTGTATTTTTAGTAGAGATGGGATTTCACCGTGTTAACCAGGATGGTCTCGATCTCCTGACCTCGTGATCTGCCCGCCTCGGCCTTCCAAAGTGCTGGAATTACAGGCGTGAGCCACCGCGCCCAGCCACACTGTATATAGTTTTTTTGAATAAAATGTTAGGCTGGAATTTTGAAATAGAAGTTTAAGGTTTTATTTATGTGTTTTTTATTTTACACATAATTCTAAGTGAAAGAGTGGGAAAGCATTATCAGTTATAAGAGATCACAGGAGAATAATATACACACATTCTGGCACATATATCAAAAGAGACAAAAATGTCTATGAACCCAAAGTTTATCAATATTCATTTACCAGGTTTTCAAGTCCTTTTCCCCGGATCACCAGACTAAGAAAACAAAAGTATATTCCTGAAGTCAAAAACCACTCAGAGGTCACCGACAAACACACCTTCCTCTAGATAGCTAAGAAAAAGGTAATAGAAAGAAGCTGCAGGAAAGGAAAGATAAGAGATAAGATAATAATAGTGTGTTTCAAAGCTGTGAACTTCAAAAAGAGAAAGGTTGAAGGGGAGAAAGGAAAGCAAAGAGAGGGTTGATATGAATAGGGGGAGGGCCAGAGCAAAAAGAACTTATTAAAATGACTTTAGGTTCACTGCCTCTTGTTTTTTTGTTTTTTTTTTTTTAATTTTTCTTTTAAGCTTGGCCTAATTTAAAATGCAACTCTGGTGAAGGAGATTTTCCAATTCGCATATTTACTTTAAGATATTCCAAAGTGTCAGGCAAATTGGGTTTTTATTTATATTTAGCAAACTAATCATTTGCCCTGAGAAACAGAAAGCTCTGATGTTCTGAGACAATTTTACAAGTAAAAAGGTTGATCTTCTCTCAGAATCTCTTGAGCTATTGAAAAACTAAAATTTGACAGAAAAATAATTTTGTTATGCCAAAGAGCCTGACAGGTGGGCAACGTATTTGAGGGGAATTGCAGTGACTTTCAATTATCTATCCTTAGACACTTATCTGTTCCTCATGGTGTCCTACCTAATGAATAACTCTTCTGCAGATGGTGAAAAACCAGGATTCTTAATTGCCACCAGGCTAAAATTAACAACAATCATGAGCAATGCTAGGGGAGGAACCTGCCAGAAAATAGTTCATCTATCAAAAAAAGGAAGAGGAATATTTAATAATCACTTTAGCATTATGCAACTTTATAAAATTCTACAGTTCTAAGAGCATTAATAAAAGTTGTTATAGTAACTGTTAACAACTAGGTCTAGGGAACATATTAATCCAATAACAATAGTTGTTATTTTCACTGGATTAATATGTTTCCTAAACATAATTTACTATTTATATTTATCAGCTGATCTTCAAAACTACTTTGGAAGCAAATGTAATATTACTTACCTGTATCTCAACATTAACATCTGTATTATAAGTTAAGAAAAAAAAAGTCAACATTAGCAATTTAAACTGTACAGACCTTCCTCTCCCAAGATTATAGTTCATAGTTCGGCAAATGCTGCCATTGTTTCTCATATGACCTTGCATTTTTGAAGGAAATATAAATGCAAATAAATGCTCAAAAAGCGGTGATAGAGCTCATTATAATGGTTGCCCACATGTAATATCACTGTCATTTTATCATATGCCATTGTTTATAAATAATCTAAAAATTAGGATAGTAATATATGATTGAAAGAACAGAAAAGTTGAAAAGTAGAGATTGAGTAAACAGAGAAATTTTTTAAAAAATTGATTTCAGATAATAGTCTAGATTTCAAATAATTTCTGTATTTTTGCTGCTGGATTTTGCAATCAAATATTGACCAGTTTAGAATTTTGCATATTGCCTGTTTCTAATCTCATTTCTTTATTATAACTTGAGAGAAAATGGGATGAGAAAAGGGTGGCAGGAGCCCGCACAGTCTTTTAACTGTAGTTCTCTGTTTAACTTTTGTGTCAGTACTCCAAGTTCTAGGTCACATACATAGATACAGTCAAAGAATCTAATAATTTTTGGAACAGAAAGTGAAAGTGAAGATTCTCCATTCTAAATCTCTCTTTTTATTTGTGAATTAAGCAAGGTTTATGAGATTAAAAACTTGGTTCAAGGTTTCTGGTGGAAAAGTAGGGAATTGAATCTATGTCAAAGCAAATCAGAATACAGTACATACTGGGATCCTTGAGATGATTTAAGTTCCACCCAAAAGCATCGCTGAGCACAAAGAAGGACAAACATAAGCCTGGATGTGTCTTCATGGACCACTTCCATCCTGAGGTCCTCTATGCAAAATTCTTCCTTTACGTATTTCTATACCAATTATGGAGCCATATCACAAAATTGACCCAGAGGTAAGTGGCTCAAACATCAGAAAAATACTCACAATTTTCATCATCAAATTCTCATTACTGTGGGAATTATCAAATATTAAATATCTATCAAAATAACTGAGCGTGAAGACATTCTACCAGCTAGACCCATTTCTATGACAATCTGTCTAAAACTAAGTAGAATGACAAACCTAGAGAGCTATTGTTGTATTTTGTTTTGACTATGTTTACATGGAATCTTTTATGTTTTTAACCTTTGCAGTTCTTCAAGTAAATGTAAACTGTGTAAATTTTTCAATTTTGAAAATCTTATAGAATAAAAATAAAAGACTAATTAATTTTTGTTTTCATCCTGCAGTCATGTTTCTTGATGACCTCTCTTCATGTTATCTACTGGTTATTTCTGGAAAGCTGTTGCTGTAAAATCACAGAAATTGAAATTTAATAATTCTTCTCTAAGCCTTTTTGGGCATTTAAGGGCAAATAAACAAGAAGCTATTGTGTGTTGTAAGACCCTCCAACGTAAGCCCTCTCTACGAGTTGCAGAGTAAAGGACTGCATGAATAGGAGAAGAAATTAGAAGCTCTTAGATATTGTCTTCCAGTAAGACATGACATGCTTTCTTATACTACACAGTATTTATATTATTGCACAAACATTAACTGGCTCTTAAGATAAGAGAGGATATTTATTTTATTGTGGGAGAAGTGGAGTTTTCATTGTTGTTGTTGGCTTTTGTATTGTTTTGTTTTGGTTTTGTTCCTCATATTGCCCAAGGGATTTAAATAAAGCTACTTGGGAAATTATTTATTAAAAGATAGCTAAGTGACATGATGCTTTAGCAAAAATCTCTGTTTGGCTTTTTAAATTTTAATTACGTCTTCAAGCATGTGGATATAACTTCAATTACTGTCCTTGGTGTCATCTATATTCTTACCAAGAGTTGAAAGAAACAGTACTTGTGATATTCTTCTGTAGTTTAATGTTGCAAGTTTTACTCATGATTCATTTTGGCTAATGTCAGTATGCCCAAATAAAAAACTTTTTACCCATAAACACAAATAAAGTTTTCTGGAGCTTACATTTTTGTTCTACACTTTCCATTATCTTAGATAACTTGTCTATTCCACCACAATGGAGAAATGTTTTCTTTCCTACTTGGCATTAGATACATACATTTTACTTTGTAAGACGTTTATCAACAATCAATTCTTAGGAACTGAATCTCTTACTAACCTGAAACAGTGGAATGCTGTCTTGATGAAAAACAGAGAAGGTCAGAGCCACAACAACAGTCACTTGGGCAGACAGAAAAGCTAACACTTATATGCAATTTCTGATTTTTTGGAAAGGAATTATTGGACCTTCTTTAGTACTTTTCACTTATTCTGTTGCCCCTCAGGTCTTTCCTTTTTTTGCTTTTAATATTAGACTCAGGGAGATTCAATTGACTGTCGTGCCCTACTGCCTAATCAGTCATAAAAAAGCACCAAAGTCAGGAAAAATATTTTAAGAGGTGTCAGTTCCATAAAAGTAAACAGTGATAAAGAGATTTATTGCCTCCATCCTCACTGCTGACCTGATTCTATTGGAGTCGGAAATCAAGAAAATCCGATTGTTTGTGTGTGGGTATGAAAGCAAGCAAGCAAGCAAGCATGAGAAATAGATTTAGTTTGCAGTGAAAAGGGAATAATATTTATAAGTTGTCAAAAATCCCTAGAAGTTGATATTTTACTGTGCTACCTGAATTTCTGGAAACTTTTTTTTCCCCTGGCACAGAAGAAAACAAGATAAAATAAAAGGTCAAATATTCTCTTGCTACATTTATTTGTTCCTTAAATCATGTTCTTTATTTGATCAATATTTATTATCTTCATTGTATGCTTGAAGTTGTACTAGCCTCTAGAGTTATAGTAGTGAACCGATCTGATTTCGTTCTATTTGTACACATTAAGGGAAAAGACTCACATTAATCAGTCATTTCATAGAAAGAAAAGTGAAAGGAATTGGAATAGAGAAAGTATGAGAGAAGCTGCTCAAGTTGTAGAGCAGCCAACTCCAGGGATTTCTGTAATTATTAAGTACCATTTAGGTCAGATTTGAACCAGAAAGGAATGGGAATCCAAACTGAATCACTGGGTGGTCCAAACGTCATCTAAGATATTGATATAGAGATATCTGAGATGGAAGGGAATTTAGAGGTCATATTACAGTCCTTCATCTTACAGATGACCAAAAAAAGGAAAAAGAGAGAGAGGGATTGATTTGTTCACACATATCACTACTGGTAGAGTGAAAAAAATAAAAATCCAGTTTCCCATTTTCCTATGGTGTCTTCATTTCATAGTAAATCCTGCCAGAATGTTTAATGGACCCTTACGTAAGCAGCTTCTCTCAAAAGCTGTTCTTGCTGTAAGAATGAAAAGAATGAGAGCTATAGACTGCATACTGCAAGGTATGTGTTAGTTCAGACTCAGATTGAGTTAGCTAACCCAAATATTGCTACTCACATATATCTCAAGACTTTACTATATATACATATATCAATGCCAAACATTTTAGCCTTATTCACTGCCATAATCACAATCACACTAAATGATGCAAATATTCAATAATTGATTAATTCACCAAAGAGGAATTTCCTGCCCCTTTCAAGTTACTAAGTCTGTACAGTGAATGCCCTGTCACATTATTTAAACTCTCAAAATATACTAGTACACACAATCCACAGTGCCTGAGCATTATAATCATGTTTTCTTATTTAATATTTTCTGGGAGAGGGAGAGAAAAGCAGGAGAATAAAAATTACAGAGATTTATCATCAAAAACGTACATGCTCAAGCATTATGGGCCTGCTTAAACCAAGGTAACACTAGTATGCCGGAATAATTAATCATCATCGCTTACCCTCTGAGTTCAATTTAATAATTTATAATAAATATATTTTAGTTCATTTTAATAATAAATATATTTTAGTTCATTTTGAAGACCTTATAAATATAAGTATAGAGGTATAGTGAAAAAGAGGTAACAGGTTTTGTAGAAACTTTAATAAGATTTTAAACATAGCAAATAATGGTTTCAAGTTCATATTTTTTCCGATTTTGAAGGTATATACTCAAAATGCACAACATCCTTTGAATGCATCTAACCATTCACCAACTCATATGCATTAACATTGAACATGCCAATCTTGTAAATACTGATTCCAAGTTTTAAATGTATCTCAAAGAGCTCTAGTTTGTCATTGCTCTTGTTTTTCTTCTTGTATTTATCAAAATATAGGACCTGTGAATATTTTGACAACTTTTAATTTTTAAAAGAGAAAATGGTGATCAACTATGCTTCATAATTGTAAAACATTTTAATTTTTAGATTTATGATCACTAATTAGAATTAACAAAGCCAATGAATTATTTTCCATTTCAATTTCATCAATTTCCTTTCAATCATCATTGCATGTACATCAGCCTCAGCTTTTGTTAACTTATGAAACGTATGTACGTTGTGATAAACAGACATCCCAAAAAATGAAATATATTGTCACATGTCCTTTAAGCTAAAAAGCACACATCAAGTCCTTATTCTAAAACCTGCCTGATGAAGTACTTTCTGTTGAATGAAACACTGCATGAGAAAATCATATTTTCCTGTGATTAGAAATTATTGTTAACTAATTTACCATGGAGTCTGAAAAAAATCATGTAATTTGCAGTCGTCTGAAGGTACATAGTCTGAGAGTTCAATTTCAACTTCACCATCATCATTAGACTCTTGAGTGCTACTGTCTTACTCAGCATTCATCTCATTTGTCTAATAACCTTTAAATGTATTCTTTTGTCAGTGTTCTACCCAGTGCCATTATAGGTAGAAATTTAAAAAAAAAACTATTTTCAATGAAAACTTAAAACACACAAATAAACAAACAAATATGCTAAAAAGAAAGTGGCACCAGACTTCTCTTAGACCTTTTCAAAGAATATTAAAATATGTTGGACAATATAGTAAAAATTTGAAGAATAATTCGAAGTTGATCATTTATTTCACTCTTGTGTCATCCTATGAGAGAATACTCCCAGTATTCCCTTTCTTTATTATTTTCATCTTTATTAGAATAACTCATAAAAATGAATAAGTAATGATATAATCCAAGGTAATGAAATGGCAAAATATTTCAAGATATAGGAAAAGTGGATCACCAAGTTTCCATAATGTATCTTTCATTTATAAAAGGGCCCAAATGACAACAGGGCAACAGAAAGATGAAATGAGTTTTAGTATTTAAAAAATGTAATTCTCTTTGTTAATTGGGAAGTGTTTTAAAAAGAATGTCATGAAATATCAATCCTTACAAATAGATAATACTTTCTAAAAATAAACCCCAAAAGTTTGAGTTCAAAGGAGCCCAAAAGTATTCCCAGGGATACATTTAAATAATTCATAATAAAAGTTGAATGTATTCTTTATAGGTACTCTTTAGGGCAGTAATAGGCATGCTTATTAAAAAGTGTGTCATCCAAATCAGCTTCCATAAGCTTGCAACAGATATTCGAAACCCTGAACTTAATGCCAGTTTTTAAATTATTGCATTCTTGGTTTGTGACCTTTACTTTCTTAGCCTTTTCTAATTAAATAGGTTTATGGAAATATTTTTGTTAATATATCTGGCTAAAATCACATGATTTTAAAAATATAGTTAGAATACATTTTCATTATTTTCTTCCCAAGTTTTATTTTAGGTTCAGGAGGTACTTGCGCAGGTAAATTGCATGTCACAAGGGTTTGTTGTACAGATTATTTCATCACTCAGGTAATAAGCATAGTACCTGATAGGTAGATTTGCAAGCCTTATCCCCCTTCCACTCTCCACCTTAAAGAAGGCCTCAGTGTTTATTGTTCACTTCGTTGTGTCCATGTGTACTCAATGTTTAACTCTCACTTATAAGTAAAAATGTGGTATTTGGTTTTCTGTTCTTGCATTAATTCATTTAGGGTTAATGTCTCCAGTTCAATCTCTGTGGCTGCAAAGACCATGATGTCTTTTTTTTTTTAACAGCTTTGTAGTATTCCATGGTGTATATGTACCACATTTTCTTTATCCAATTACTGCCAATGGGCATCTAGGTTGAGTCTATGTCTTTACTATGGTGAATAGTACTATGATGAACATACGAGTGCATGCGTCTTTAAAGTAGAATGATTTGTATTCTTTCGAGTATATCCCTAGTAATGGAATTGCTGGTATAAGTGATAGTTCTATTTCTGAGAAATCTCCAGATTGCTTTTCACAGTGGCTAAACTAATTTACCTTCCCATCAGCAGTGTATAAACATTCATTTTTCTCCACAACCTTGCCAGCTTGTGTTATTTTTGGACTTTTTGGTAGTAGCCATTCTGACTGGTGTGAGATGATATTTTATTGTGCTTTTGATCCGCATTTCCCTAATCATAAGTGATACTGAGTATTTTTTCATATGCTTGTTGATCACATGTATGGCTTCTTCTGAGAAATGTCTGCTCATGTTCTCTTCCCATTTTGCAATGAGATTGTTTTTTGCTTGTTGATTTGAGTTTCTTGTAGAGTTTTAATATTAGACCCTTGTAGGATGCATAGTTTGCAAATATCGTCCCATATTGGAGGTTGTCATTTCACTCTACTGAAAGTTTCTTTTGCTGTGCAGAAACTCTTCAGTCTAATTAGGTCCCATCAGTCAATTTTTGTTTTTGTTGCAATTGCTTTTGGAGTCTTCATTATGAAGTCTTTGCCTGGGCTGGTGTCCCAGATTTTCTTCTAGGGTTTTTATAGTTTTAGGTTTACATTTAAGTCTTTCACTCATTTTGAGTTTCTTTTTGTATATGGTGAAAGGTGGGGTCTGGTTTCAATCTTCTGCATATGGCTAGCCAGTTATCCCAGGAGCATTTATTGAATAGAGAGTGCTTTCCCCATTGCTTGTTTTTGTCAGCTTTGTTGAACATCAGATGGTTATAGGTGTGCAGCTTTATTTCTGAGTACTTGAAATTCTTCCATTGGCCTATGCATCTGTTTTTGTATGAGTACCATGCTGTTTGTTTTAGTTACCACACATTTGAAGTATAGTTTGAAATTGAGTACTGTATTGCTTCCAGTTTTGTTCTTTTTGCTTCAGATTGCTGTTACTATTCAGGCTCTTTTTTGGTCAAATTAGTTTTAGAATTTTTTTTCTAATTCTGTGGAAAACATTCTTGATAGCTTGATAGGAATAGCATTAAATATATATATTGCTTTGGGCAGCATGACCATTTTAACAATATTGATTTTATCCATGAGCATAGAATGTTTTTCCATTTGTCTGTGTCATCTCTGATTTCTTGCAGCAGTGTTTTTTTTAATTCGTGTTTTTAAGACCTTTCACCTCCCTCGTTAATGATATTCCCAGGTATTTTATTCTTTATGTGGCTATTGTGAATGATTTGGTTGTCAGGTTGGACATTCTCAGTCTATAGAAATGCTACTAATTTTTGTATGTTGATTTTCTATTGTGAAACTCTGCTTAAGTTGTTTATCAGTTACAGGAGCTTTTGGGACAGGACTATGGGGTTTTCCAGGAATAAAATTACAACAGCTGCAAAGACAGATAGTTTGACTTCCTCTCTTCTTATTTGGATCCATTTTATTTCTTTCTCTTTCCTGACTGCTCTGGCTAGGACTTTCACTACTATATTGAATAGGAGTGGTGAGAGTGGGCATCAGTGTCTTGTTCTGGTTTTCAAGGGAAGTGATTCCAGTTTTTGCGCATTCAGTTAGATGTTGGCTGTGGGTTTGTCATAGATGGCTCTTATTATTCTGAGGTATGTTCCTTCAATGCCTAATTTGTTGGGGGGTTTTAACATGAAGAGATATTTAATTTTATCAAAAGTCTTTTCTTTGTCTATTAAGATTGTGTTGCTTTGGCCGGGCGCGGTAGCTTATGCCTGTAATCCCAGCACTTTGGGAGGCCGAGGTGTGAGGATCATGATGTCAGGAGATCGAGACCATCCTGGCTAACATACCGAAACCCCGTCTCTACTAAAATACAAGAAAATTAGCAGAGCGTGGTGGCAGGCGCCTGTAGTCCCAGCTACTCTGGAGTCTGAGGCAGGACAAAGGCGTGAACCCGGGAGGCGGAGCTTGCAGTGAGCGGAGATCGCACCACTGCACTCCAGCCTGGGCGACAGAGCGAGACTCTGTCTCAAAAAAAAAAAAGATTGTTCTGTTTTTGTTGTCACTTCTGTTTACCTGATAAATCACATTTGTTGATTTGTATATGTTGAACAAAACTTGCATCCCAAGAATAAATGCTATTTGATCGTGGTGGATCAGCTTTTTTAATATGCTGCAAGATTCATCTTGCTAGTATTTTGTTGAGGATGTTTGCATCAATGTCCATCAAGAATATTGGCCTGAAATTTTATTTTTTTATTGTGTCTCTGCCAGAGTTTGGTACCAGAATGTTGCGGGCCTCATAGAATGAGATAGGAAAAAGTTCCTCCTCTTCAAAAAAATATTTTTTTTATTATTATACTTTAAGTTCTGGGATATATGTGCAGAAAGTGCAGGTTTGTTACATAGGTATACACGTGCCGTGGTGGTTTGCTGCACTCATCAACCCGTCATCTACATTAGGTATTTCTCCTAATGCTATCCCTTCCCTAACCCCCGGCCCCTGACAGGCCAGGATGTGTGGTGTTCCCCTCCCTGTGTCCATGTGTTCTCATTGTTCAACTCCCACTTATGAGTGACATGCGGTGTTTGGTTTTCTGTTCCTGTGTTAGTTTGCTGAGAATGATGGTTTCCAGCTTCATCCATGTCCCTACAAAGAACATGAACTCATCCTTTTTTATGGCTCAATAGTATTCCATGGTGTATATGTGCAGTATTTTCTTTATTCAGTCTATCATTGATGGGCATTTGGGTTGGTTCCAAGTCTTTGCTATTGTGAATGGTGCTGTAATAAACATACTTGTGCATGTGTCTTTATAGTAGAATGATTTATAATCCTTTGGGTATATATGCAGTAATGGGATGGCTGGGTCAAATGGTATTTCTGGTTCTAGATCCTTGAGGAATTGCCACACTGTCTTCCACAATGGTTGAACTAATTTACACTCCCATCAACAGTCTAAAAGCATTCCTATTTCTTCACATCCTCCCCAGCATCTGTTGTTTCCTGACTTTTGAATGATTGCCATACCATTCTGGTATGAGATGGTGTCTTATTGTGGTTTTGACCTGCATTTCTCTAACGATGATGAGCTTTTTTTCATATGTTTGTTGGCTGCATAATGGGAGAAAATTTTTGCAATATATCCATCTGACAAAGGGCTAATATCTAGAATCCACAAAGAACTTAAACAAATGTACAAGAAGAAAACAAACAACCCCATCAAAAAGTGGGTGAAGGATATGAACAGATACTCCTCTTCAATTTTTTTTGGAATAGTTTCATCAGGATTGGTATCAGCTCTTCCTTATATGTCTGGTAGGATTCCGCTGTGAATCTGTTCCAGGACTTTTTCTGGTTGTTAGCCTTTTCTTTACTGATTCAATTTCAGAACTCATTATTGGTGTGTTAAGGAATTCAATTTCTTTCTGGTTCAATCTTTGGAGGTTGTTTCCAGGAATTTATTCACTTCTTCTAGGTTTTTTAGTTTGTGTGGATAGAGGTTTCCATAATAGTCTTTGACAGTTGGTTATTTATATTTCTGTGTGGTCAGCAGTAATATCTCCTTTCTTATTTCAGATTGTGTTTATTGCGTTCTTATCAATCTTATTCTTTCAAATAAAAACATTTGGTTTTGTTGATCTTTTGTATGGTTTATTGCATCAACTTCATTCAGTTCAACTCTGATTTTAGTTATCTCTTTTCTTCTGCTATCTTTGGGCTTGGTTCTCACTTTCCTCTGGTGAGATGTTAGGTTATTAATTTGAAATCTTTCCAGCTTTTTGATGTAGGTTTTTAGCACCATCAACTTTACTCTTAACACTGTTTTAGCTGTGTTTTAGAGATTCTGGTATATTGTATCTTTGTTTGCATTGGTTTCAAAGACATTTTTGATTTTGCCTTAATTCATTACTTGCCCCAAAATCGTTCAGGAGCAGGTTGTTTCATTTCTATGTAATTGTATTATTTTGAAATATCTTCTTGGTATTGAGTCCTATTTTTATTGCATGGTGGTCTGATAATGTGGTTGGTTTGATTTTGCTTTTTAAAATGTGTTGAGAATTGCTTTATGAGTGAGTATGTGTTCAATTTTAGATTACGTGCTGTGTGCAGATGGAAAGAATGTATAGTCTATTTTGATTGGGCGAAGTGTTCTATAGATGTCTGCTAAGTCCGTTTAGTCAAGTGTTGAGTTTAGGTCCCAAATATCTCTGTTATAATTCTGACTCAATAATATGTCCAGTAATGTCAGTGGGGTGTTGAAGTCTCCTACTATTATTGTGTGATTATCTAAGTCTCTTCATAGGCCTCTAAAAACTTGCTTTATAAACCTTGTGCTCCAGTGTTGGATGCATATATATTTAGAATAGCTAAGTCTTTTTTTTTTAATTGAACCCATTATCATTATGTAATGCCCTTCATTGTCTTTTTTGATCATTGTTGGTTTAAAGTCTGTTTAATCTGAAATTAGAATAGCAACCCTCCTCTTTTTTGTTTTCCATTTGCTTGGTAGATTTTTCGCTATCCCTTTACTTTAGCCTAAGGGTGTGATTGCATGTGAGATGAGTTTCTTGATGACATCATACAGTTGGATCTTGCTTCTTTATCCCATTTGCCACTCTATGCATTTTAAGTGGGGCATTTAGCCTGTTTATGTTCAAGATTAATATTCATATGTGTAGATTTGATCCCATGATTGTGTTGTTAGCTGATTGTTATGCAGACTTGTTTCCGCCTTTGCTTCAGTGTCAATCATTTACTTACTTAAGTGTGTTTTTGTTGTGGCCAGTAATGGTCTTTCATTTCCACATGTATCACTCCCATAAGGACCTCTAGGAAGGCATGTCTAGTGGTAACAAACTCCCTTAACATTTGCTTGTCTGAAAAGGATCTCATTTCTCCTTTGTTTAGGAAGGTTAGTTTGGTTGAATTTTAATTTTTGGTTGAAATTTCTTTTTTTTAAATAATGTTAAGTATAGGTGCCTAGTATTTTCTGACTTGTAGGGTTTCTACAAAAAGGTATGCTATTAGCTAAATAGGGTTCCATTTGTAGGTGCCCTGCCCTTTCTTTCTAGCTACCTTTAATATATTGTCTTTCACATTGACTTTGGAGATTCTGATTTCTATGTGTCTTGGGGATGGTCATCTTGTATAGTATCTCACAGGAGTTCTCTGTATTTTCTAAGTTTGAATGTCAATTTCTCAAGCAAGCTTGAGGAAATTTTCATAGATGATATTCTCAGATATTATTTCCAAGTTGCTTTCTCTCCCTTTCTTTCAGGGACACTAATGAGTTATAGGTTTGTTCTCTTTACATTATCCCATATTTCTCAGAAGTTTTGGTTGTTCTTTTTAATTTTTTTTTCTTTATTTTTTGTCTGACAGTAATTTTGGAGAACGGGTCTTTGGGCTCTGAGATTCTTTCTTGAGGTTGGAGGATTCTGCTATTGATACTTCTGATTGTATTGTGAAATTCTTGCAGTGAGTTTTTCACCTCTATCTGCTCAGATTGTCTTTCTTAACAATTGTTTCATCTTTCAGCTCTTGTGCTATTTTATTGGATTCCTTAGGTTGTTTGAATTGGGTTTTGACTTTCTCCTGAATATTGATGATCTTTGTTCCAATCCAGATTTTGAATTTTATGTCTGTTATTTCAGCCATTTCAGTCTGGTTAAAAGCCATTGCTAAGAAACTAGTGTTGTTGTTTGGAGGTAAGAAGATACTCTGGCTTTTTGAGTTGCCAGAATTCTCATACTGGTCATTTCTCATCTATCTGTGCTGATGTTCCTTTAGTCTTTGAAGCTTCTGTCCTTTGTGGCTTTTTGCTTTTATATTCTTTGATGTTCTTGAGGGTTTGACTGTTGTATAAGGTGAATTCATTCAACTGGCTTCATTTCTGGAAGTTTTCAGGGAGCCAAGGCTTAGCTAAGCACTGCTGGATTGCATGCTCTAACCTGGGGGCCTGGTATCAAGCCCAAGACTTTGCTCTCTGGTCCCTGAAGTTAAGTACATGTTGTGCTGGATGGGGACAAATTGTTTGCAGTCTACTGACAACAACACTCCAATTAGGGGTGTAGGCCGAAGCCCTTAACTGAGGTAGTGGCATTGGGGTCTACACTTGTGCACACCTACTAGCAGCAGTGGCAGCATGATGGGGTGCATGCACATTGTCAGTGGCAGGGCATTTGTAGGGGCAGGGAGGCAGTTTCCACAGGTGTGTGTGTGCACCAGCAGAGGTGAGGTGGCAGTGTCTGCTAGTTCTGTTCGTGGTAGGAGCATGTGTGCTGGTGGAGGAAAGGTGGTGAGGTCCACCCATGCATAAACACTAGCAAATCAGTGTGGGCTGTCAGTGAGTACATGATGGCAAAGATGTGGGTGGAGGCTGTGGTGCGAATCGGTTGTGAGTCAGTGGGTACAAATAGGTTGGGGACCATCTGCAGAAGCTCTTGAAGGGTTAGGTGTCATCTTTCACTGAAGGAGCTATGGTGGTAGCCACTGGGAAGCATCTTGATTGGGCATCTGAGGTTGCACTGCAAGCATATGTGTCCAGGGAGGGACACTGGGAGAGAGCAGCAGACAGGGGTACTCGCAGATCTGACTGTCCCTATCTCAGGGCCAGACCGCCCTGCTCTCTCCAGGTCTGACAGTCAACAAGGTCCAAAGACACCTAGAGGAGCATGGTAAGCCTTGGGGGATGGGTGTCCTGTCCATGCTCCACTGCAGCCCTTCCCACACGAAACCATCGGGGCTCAGCGCAGGCTGGAATCCTGTCCCTGCTACTTCTCTAAACAGCTCTCTCTGTCACCTTAAATGTCCTTGGGGATCATGGAGTCTCATGCAGTTAGGATTCTGGAGGCAGGATTCTGGAGGTGCGTGGCAAGAGGCAGCCACCCCTATTTAACTCACTTCTTGCCCAGGAGTCACTGGGAGCCACAAATGAGTCCTGTTGCTCAGCAGCCCCATACAGGGTTCCCAGTTTCCTTCTCCTTCAGCCCAGGGTCTGCATTCTCTCCCCATCCACTCTCAATGGCCCCCTTCCAAAGATCTGCTCCAAGTGTGCCAGTCTTCTTGACTTTCCGGTCTCTTGGTGGAAGATGCTCTTCCTGGCTGTATGCAGTTGGCTATCTTGGCTTTAGAACACATTTTCAAATATTGTGGGCTTTATTGTAATTCAGTTTCCTTTTATAATTTCAGATTAAAGTTACAGGAAAACCTTGATTTTAATTAAATTTTATTGGTGTTATGTATATTTTGTAAAGTGAAAATTTGAAGTGCCTGACCAAAGAACCAATATTTGGCTGCAGGATTCTGGTAGGTTCCACACTACTGGGAGAAAAATCTGTTTTTCAAAGAAGTCAAACTTTGAGAAATAAGCATCAAATCTGCCTGAGAGAGCAAGGCCATGACATCACTTTAGCTAAAGATAGCTAGAATTTATTGATAGGGGTTTAGAAGCCTGCGCTAGAGTGATTATGTCAGAGTCAGGGGCCATTAGGCAGCAGAGGATTGGTATTATGTTAATATTCCAGAATACGAACCATAGTTCACAAAAATACCTAATACCAGTCACTGCTCTTGCTTTAAATAGACCATGATTAATGTAATTGCAAGTGAAAAAGTTGCTGTTTGCTTCCTGGTATATATATTTTTTTACAACAAAAAATTTCCAAGTTTTGAATAAAGACAGTTACTAAAAGTACAAAATAAAGAGTACTCTTGGTCATGCACAGGCTTACACAGGGGTGGCATAATGATGTCTAACTAGATGGAGAAACGAGTAGGTAATTAACAATAGTTGTAAAAGACCATTGTACATTGAAGGAACTTTGCCTTACATTGACCAACTGGACATATCTGGATACTCATAGGACTTACTCCTTACCAATTTTTTTAGATTGAACAATACTGGTACAATGTTTAGGTATAGTAAACTGTATTAGGTTTTGAAAAATATCTTATCCAGGTTTTTAAAAATATATGCCATGTACAAGTCAGGTGACCATATGTCCTTGCTTGCTTAGGATAATCCTAGTTTATGGCTACTTTTTATGGGATAGGTTTTATTATTGCCTTTTTTATTCTCAGTGTTCTGGTTTCCAGGATAAATTATGTGATTGCTCTACCTACAAGAATCTAAAAGGGTTCATCTTTTATCCTTTAATTTTAAGTAACTGATTTTGACTCTGATAAAATGACTTAGAATGGAAATGAAGAAACTCTGACCCTGCAGCCCATGCCACCAGTGAAAAAACTTTCTATTAATGAAGAATATTGTGTTGGAAGATCCAGCAGGTGAGACTTGTGAATCATTCAATGACCAGAGGTAAGTCTGATATCTCTATTTATTCTTCTATAGTATCTAGTTCAGTGTTGGGTATGTAGAAACTCAACAAACACTATTGGATAGATCAGATAAATTCTTAATTCAGCAGGCAGACAAGAGAATAACCAATCAATATTATTAGTTAACTACATCTCTGTGGTTATTTTGGAGGTCTCTCTGAAACAAACACAGCCATACAGAAATAGGTTACTGACACCTCATTTTGAATGAAATTTTATTTTTACTGAATACAGAAATGGATGAATATACTTGTCTCTGATCTTCTATGAGGCAAACTATGCCTTAAAGGCATTGACAATTGATTCAGAACAAGAAAAAGAAGGAAAAGGGAAAACTAGTGTAAAAATTCATTTATATTGAAAAAAACTCTTCTTTTTTTACAAGCATTTTTAATGTAGAACATGTTCTAGAAATGAAACTTCAGATTTAATTAACACTACTTTCTTCAAAAAACTTTGTTTCTCTAATTACATTGGCTTTAATGTTAAGCAGACTTTTTCAGCCCTTGTCAAGCATTTATTTGTATTTCTATACCTGAATAAAAAAATACGATGCAGCACTGCCAAAATGTATCATTAAATATGTGAATTCTAAACTAGGACACTGTGATATCCTGGTGTGATGGAAGCAGCAGCCACAGTGCAGTGGAAGCACAAGGGCATTGGTGAGATCTGGTTTGCTACTGACACCTCACCCTGAGAAGAAAATAGGACAAACCCCAACAGAAATATAAAATATTTAAGACTTAATGCAGCAATAAACAAAAACAAGACACTTAAGACAAAACCAGAATTGTCAGAGGAGTCAGAATACTTGATGATGATTAGTTATTAAGAGAGTTTATTAAAAGTAAGGAACGGTCACTCTGAGTGACCTTGAGTGGTAGTCAGCCTCTTCTTTCCCAATCCTTCTCTCCCTCATGTAGTCGTCACCATCTGCCCTTCAGCCTAAGTCAAAGGCTGGAGTCAGCTTTTATTCTTCTACCAGCATTCTTACTCATATCCTCACAGCCTTGCCCAGGATCAACCAAAGCTTCACACTCATGCCACCCTCCTGCTAATGCATGCTACTGCAACAATAGGAGTTGACCATTTTTTTGGTAATCCTATCATTTATGTTTGAAAGTTTCCAGTTAACAGTGTGTTCCTTTTTTGGCTTAGAATCTACTTTGTTTGTTTGTTTGTTTGTTTGTTTGTTGTTTTTCTCAGTGAATAGAATGTTCAGAAACCCAATAGACAGATGCTAACAAATGCAATTCCTAGGTAATATCATGTATTACAGACATGCTTCTCTAAAGTGGACATATTCAATCAGATAAACACTACTAGGATCTTGAAGATAGATAGCAGAATGATCTTGCTGTCACTTAAAAGCCCAGATTTAATGGGGGTTGACGTTCTAAGAAAGCATGTTCAGGGCTTTGAGATTCCTCTCCTGAGACTAAGATTATGGGTCAGGGTAAAATCCAATTGAAACTTTCTTTTTTATATACAAAGGTAATGCCTTCTTAATTTTTAAGGAGGTAGACATATAAAAATGAGTAATGGAATCTGCCCTGCTTCCTGCCTTGTTTACTCAGCATCCCATTATTGCCGTGAGCACCATAAATTAACCCACGAAATTTCCCATTGCTTAAATTAGTCGGCTTTAGATTCCCTTGTCTGCAGTCAGAGATTCCTAGTAGATATACCACGGATTCTCCTACACGCTCCCATTGCATTCCTTGGTAACAGAGCATGCCTTATGGTGCCAGGCAACAAGCATTGAAAAGAATATATTTTATTTCAAATAAAAATAGCACAAAAAGATGGTGATAGACTCATCTTCTAATTTATTCTCATAATTTTTTTTGTGATTAATACAACTAGTAGCTAAAACTGTTGCTTGGTCACAAACAAAAATGCCAGAAAATTATTTTGCTGGATAGTAGAAAGCTACACCAGATTATTATTACAGCAATTACACAGCCGACATGCAGAAGCCTTGAAGATATGTGGCCCTTGGGATAGGAAACAAGAAGTTTGAAATAAATGAAACTCAAATACCAGAATCATGTTGATGGTCAGCACTGTTCCTCTTGGCAAGAAAGCAGTTTCTTCTTTTCCAAGAAACAATTTGCATGACACTTGCTGGAGATATTACTTTCCTCCAGGTCACACATTAATTGACTACCTGGGTGCTCAAAGTAAGGAGAGAGTAATACCAAGTGTTTATTAAAAAAAAAAAAAAAAAAAAGACTTTTCAAGAAAGCACAATGTAATCACAACATGAGTGCCTTGATAATAATTAATACCTGGGAGCTAGCTCGTAGTCTAAATCAATAATGGTATTTTTCCCATCGCAAATCTATAAAATTCCAGACACGATCCTTTCTCCACACCCTTTGCCATAAGAACTAAAAGCAAAGTCCGTGTCAAATTCTTGATTCCGTATCTATTGCAGACACAATGCAAGAGATAAAACCTAATGAGTTTCTACAAACACAACCAATTTGTTAGCATTGACTGGTCACTTCAGTGAAAGAACCAGTCAATTTAATCAAATTGGCCAAACTGGACTTAAGCTGAAGTGACAAATGGATACAGTCAAAATAATCAAACTAAGTAAATAGACTGGATGTGTTCACTTCAATACCCTTATAATGGTCCTGAATCTTAACTTTCTTGCTCATAAGCACTAGTCTCTGCTGAGTAGAAAAAACATTAATGTTGAGGAACACAAAGCAAAATGCCTGCTCACCCCAGTGGTCATAAACAATCATCTGAAAGAGCAAAATATGTAGGCAAATGGAATATACCTTTCGCCTCACCTCTTGACTGAGGGCATGCCCAGGAGTCCTACACCAGGTTTTCTAATCATTGGCATGTGAAGAATCCAGAAGAGACATTGGCCCTAGCCACAGTATAATTGGTTATATACATACAGTATAAACATACGTTTACTGGACAGTGGACACAGGAATACTGAATTAAAAAACATACCCAAGTGACTCTAGCAGGAGTCTAAGAAGAATAGACAGTGGAGAGGGCTTTCTAAAGCCCCAAACAATCATGGTAATTCACTTCCAACTGTTGCCCTGCTGGCACTCTTCCTAAGCAGACAGGGGAGAGCTGCTGCATCTCTCAGATAACAAGGTAATTAATGTTAAAAAGGAAGACCATATTGAGGAGGGTCAGTTGTAGCTTCAGAATTATAAAAAGGTAAAATTATAAAGCCTATTTCCATGTGCCTCCAACTTTTTGTTTTCTAAGGCTTATTTTTAAAAGATTAGAAAAGGCAGGGATAGAGACATGAATAAACAAAAGCTATTATGGGAAAATGAAATTCCTTTCCTCTTAGCCTCTTTCCATTACAGATCTTCTCTGAAGGCTCAGTAACATTTTAAAACCCAAACTTTCAAAATTAGCTTCATCTACTTAAAAAAAATAATACTAGCATAGAATTAGCTCGTAAACACCGTGAGGGGAGATGCCATTCTTTCACTGAGGTAAGGATCCTCTCCTATCTTTCTGGCCAGTACTCTACTTTGCTTCAGGGGCATCAATCATCACTATTTATATTATTAGACAGTTATTAATAAATAAGTAATATTAAAGAATAGCAATGCATAAATAATAATATATAAATAAAATAATTACAATTTTAAAATATAAATAAATAATACTGATAAATAAATAAATTACTTAAACTCTACAGATAGAGGGTACAATAATTGTAACACCACATTCGGAAAACTTTGCCATCAGATATGGCGATGGATGTCGAGAGCTATATGGGAAGATTGTATGAGATGTAAACATCTTACGTTAAAAGGAAAGACTATGGGAAATTAAATATCACTTCAAAGCCATGACATTGATTTCATAATAAATGGCAATAGTATCTCTGTGTTTAACTAAATACCAGACAAAAGAAAATATGTAGCCTCATGCAAGAGCTACAAGAAAAAATAAATGAGACCTTGAAAATACAAATTAGGCTTACATATAGAGGCTGTAATAGTAAAAGTAATAATAATACCTAGCACTTATGGAAAACTTACCCTTAGTTATTTAACATGTGTTAACACATTTAAATTTTGTAAAAACTCTTAGAGGCAAATATAAATTTTATCTGTTTTGTTTTAAGATTAGAAAACTAAAGCAAAGGGAAATTGAGTAATGTGATAAGGTAACACAGCTAATAAGTGGAGAAACCAGGATTTGAGCCCAGAAAATCTAGGTCCAGTATCCACACTCTTAATAACAGTAGCCCTTATAATAAAATATCTGGATGTCTGTATAAATGAAATAATATTATAAATAGCTGAGTTTTTAATATAATGTTGGATAAGAAGGATAACCACTCAAGGAATCCTAAGACTTTAGTAGGGGAAAATAATTGTAGTAAGTAGTATATAACTTCTATGTTGCATTCTAAAACAATGTTAGTTCACATATTTTAAAAAATATATTGTTGATACTATATACTTATATGACACAGACACCCACAGACACACATTCAAATTTCTTAATGGTAACAATAAATCCACAAACAACAACTAATACATAAGGTTTTTTTTTTGAGTGTATGCATTTAGAAATTTTCAATCATAAAATAAATTTGATCAGTTCAGATTTGGGGAAATCTATCTTAAATGAAATTATTCTATGATAAGCATTATAAGCTTCCAGGGACAGAGTATATAACACTAACTACACTGTAACATTAACTACAATCCTGTGTCCATAGTCATGAGAAGACAGTTTTAATGGCTTTCATTAAAAACCTAGTGGAGAGAGAACAAATCAGGATTTGGAAACTTTCTATTGCAAACTCAAATGCAGAGTTAACTAAAATCTATGATGTTGACTCTTTCCTAAAATATTCCTTAACACATGTTAAATGATTATGACAGGAGCAAGTACAGCCTCTAGTCATCCTTCCAACCTTTTGGCCCTCCTGCATACACAAGCACACACAGACTACCACCAATATTATTACAGCAAAGGAGCAAAGGGAAATAAAAGAAGCAGTTCACAGAGAGTCTCTGAATATTTTAGATTTTTAAAGGCTAATTTCATCCTTTTGATTCCTATAACTTAAAAAAAAAAACCTAAACAGCTTACATCCCTGAAATTGAAGTGTGCCATAAACACAGAAAAAAGATGATGGTCATGATTCCCAAGCTGTAGAAAGTCCCTACGGAGCATTTTCACCCAGGAGAAGGTTTGCCTCATTAACCTTTAGGTGATGGCAACTGAGTGAGACAGCAGAAAAAAGGGGTTGGAACAGCTCAAGGAAAGATGACAATGAGTCAGAAGTAAGATGGGTTGTGACAGGGCCTATCTCTAAAGAAAAGAAAAAACATGGAAATAGGCGACACGAATGGGAAGTGACAGGAAGAAACTGTTTGGGACTGTAAATGAGCACAGTGGGAAAAGATGTGGAACATGCATTGGAGTGAAACCACTGAATTATGGGATTATGACCCCAGAACTGTTAGCATAGCAATATTGTCTCCCAGCCGGTGGAGCCGGGCTAGATTTATTATACATCCTACTGCCTTCCTCATCATGTTCTCACAGAAGCAGCAAAGTCAATTCCAACCAGAAAATTAATCAACTCTTTTCCCTTTTTTGCCTCTTCTTTGCTTCTTACATTAGTGAGAAAATGTAAGTTTTTCCCTACGTGGTTGTGACCTCACAGACTGGTGACCCATTAAGAGATCCTGTGGAGAACACTTCATTCTGTGTTTTCTTCTTTCCGTCAGGGCTGATGTCCCTTTGGAAGTGTTAAATTGGTCCTCTCTTGTTCAGGCCCCAGTACATTTACCTGTAATTCTTACAATAAAAATCTCTTTTTAAAATGAAGAAGTCAGGGATGTAAGTGTCTCCATTTAGTGCTTGTGTTTGAACCTCAGGTGTTTCTTGTTTGTATTTTCCCTGTGGGCACTGTTAACAGACTGCGTGTGGCAGGAGGCCCCCTGACTCTGAAATCTAGGTCACAGGCTGATGGCTCCTTGCACAGCATCCACTCTGTTTCTAGGGACAGCCCCTCTCTACTTTGAATTAAAGATACTTAACACAACCCTAAATACTGTGAAATGTTACAGCGTTATGCAATTGAGTTCAACAGGAGCACATTGGCTCACACCTCCTGAATGTTGGACAGCAAGAGCTGTGGCCATTCTGCGCTTTACCCCATGCAGTCTCACTTTTAAATGAGAAAGCAAATAAACACTTAACCTGCTGTGTGTTCAATGTCTCTCTGCTTGCATTACTTGCTTGATAACAGATGCTTAAAGATGAAGAACAATAACAGGAAGTAGGGTAAAGCTTTTGAGACAGAAAAGTTTTTATTTGATGCAGATTTTTTTTATAGAACACACACACACATGTACACACACAAACATGTGTGTGTGTCTGTATAATTATAAGCCAGAGACTGAAAGCAAACAAAACTCAGAGAGCTTGTAAAACCTGAAAGTACTGCTGTCTGTAGGATAAAATGGCTGCTTTGTGACAAAGCACAGGGTGACTGGTGTTTTCTCCTGAAAAACCTGAGGCTGGAGGCACTCCAAAATCAGCAGCACGGGAATTCTTACAAACAAGTGCCCCAAACCATCCCAAGATGGGACCAGCTGGGTTCCAAAGAAAGAAACACTAAATACCAGGGTAATCAGTTCAAAGCATTTATTCGGAAAACTGAGCTGCAGAGTGGGCTGCAGCAGTCCTTCAGCAGGACAAGGACAGAAAAAGGATGTTTGACCTACCCACGTCTGCAGCAAAAGCATCAAGGGATGGAATTTATAGGAAGGTTTAAGGAATTTGCTCACAGCCAGGGCCAGTTCCTTAGTGGTAAACCTCCATACTTTTTATCAGTGCCTGGGAATGTTCAAAAGCCGTATTTGAGTTCAAGCCAGCTGGGAAAAACCTGCCTCTGGCTGGGTCACAGAACAGCCAAGGCATTCTGTGATTTTGTCAGGACACGGAAAGAAAGCAGGGGGACCTGCGGGACCCTGCAGTAGGACAATGAGGGGGTATAACAAAAAGTGCTCTTTAATATGCCCTTTAAACTGCTGAGCTAGATGAAATTCTCCATCCCTAGAAAAAGCAGTCATTTGCAGGGTTGGGAAATTAATGTGTTCATTATTTAGAGAAAAGTTTGGGGATCAAGACAGCATGAATATTGGTTGAAAGCCCATCACTTCTTTACCCACTACATATTAGATGGGTCGTGACAAAAATTGCTATAATGAAATAATATACAGAAGATTGAGCTCAATCTTCTGTTACTTACCTCGCACTCCCATCTTTCCCAAAAGAGAAGGAAGAGAGATGTCCTGAGACTTGGTGGGGTGCACAAAGCAATACCCCAAAGTATGTCACTTTGACATGCTGAGCACTTTGCACTAAAGAAGTAGCCAGAGAACCAAGGTCTAGATGTCTGAGCTTCTCCTGTCTCCTTCCCTCCCCTTCTCCACCATTGCTCACTATCTCCCTCTCCCAAAGCACAGGTTGGTGCTTTCTCTGAAGTTTCTTTATCTGTCTAAGGGGAGTTCCTCCAGAAAGAATGCAATTTTAATGAAACTCCTCCCTGGAATCTATATGAACCAGAAAAGGTTAATTTGTATCACAGGAAGGGAGATTGAAGTTCTCAATACACTTGTGATGCGCTCATCACGCCAGGACAAACTTTTTGCCTATTCTGAGGGCTCTAATCTGACAGACTTAATCTACATAATAAGACAATCTTTGTTAGCAGTGCAGGTCCTCTCCTCACCCTTCCGTAGCTGTTGCCACCATCCTCCAGGAGACTTAAAACACTGATTTTTTCCCCCCTGTAGCTTAAAATGCTGCTTAAGCTTCAATCATCTGATCCTTCTTAAAGTCTCATACTTTGTGGAACCACAGTAAATAAACATGTAATAAATCTGTATGTCTAGTCTCCTGTTGGTCTGTCTTCTGTCAAGTTTATTCCAGATATCAAACTTTCAGAGGGTAGAAAGAAATAGCCTTTCACCACTACAGATGCAGTGTCTATACCCCTCATGGGAGAAGAAGTCTTGGGATAGAGATGAGAAAGCATTGACTTCCTTCAGATTTCACTGCAAGATATGTCATATCCTGGCATTAATTCTACAATTTTCTTGTTTGTCAAATGTAAAAGAAAACATCGGGAGGCCTATGAGAACTTTCACAGGCAGGAGCAGGAAGGTGGAGTGAGGTGACAGAGCAGGATTCCATTGCCTAAGCTCATAGTTTAGTGCTAAGAGACTGTGAGGTGGAAGTGATGCAGAGAACACGGGGTAGCATTCACACTCCTCAGTGGCACTGTCCACAGACACTGTCCACAGGAGGACACCACAGCCCCACAGCTCAGAAGTGACTGCAACAGGGATACTGCTGGCTGTAACTGTTCCTTGGGAAAGATCAGAGAAGAACCAGAGGTGACAGTGTTTTCAAATAGGAAAAATACGTTTATTTCATTCTTATTCCACATTAGGTTGATTAACTGTGGCCTAGTATGGAGAACCAAATTTCTTGAAGACAAAATATAAGGCCTAATTACTGAGTATTTTTATAAAGATGCTAGCACAGTTGGCTTAGTTTGAATGTGAAAAAAAAAAAGATATGATTTCCAGTGACAAATAAGACTTTCAGCCAGGAGAAAACAATTATGGAAAATAATTATTCAAAAAATTGTTGAAAATAAATTACTTAAAAAGACTGTAGGCCTTATGGCTTCAGTTTCTTACAAAAATTAATTGATTCTTACAAAAAACCCCACAAAAAACAGAAGAGATAATTTATGTTCTTAAAAATGCTTTAAAGCAAACCGTATACAAGTTTTAAAATGTAATCATAAGATAAACAAAATGCAAAGTACTAAAATGATTTCTTATTTAATAGTCAAAATCCTGAATGGCAAAAATGGTTCATTATCAACAAATTAAGTATATTCATTACATTAAAAAATAAAGATTTTTTGACAATTTCTATAAAAAAATAAGTCTCAAAAAAATAAGTCTCATAAGAATGAATAAATCAGTCAGCCACCAAAAGTAGAAAATTAGAAGACGAACAAAATCAATGCGGTTTTATTTCACAAAAATTCTTTGCAAATAATAAATATGCATACCTTTTAGGATAGGTAAAAAATAGGGAAATAATAATCAAATTTAAATCAAGAAAGAAACAATATAAAGGTATATAATCTTCTGTTTGTTTGTTTTTTGAGACAGAGTCTCACTCTGTCACCCAGGCTGGAGTGCAGTGGCACGATCTTGGCTCACTATAGCCTTCTCCTCCTGGGTTCAAGCAATTCTCTTGCCTCAGCCTCCCAAATACCTGGGATTACAGCCACATACCACCACACCCAGCTAATTTTTGTAATTTTAGTAGAGATGGAGTTTCACCATGTTGGCTAGGCTGGTCTCAAACTCCTAACCTCAAGTGATCCGCTTGCCTTGGCCTCCCAAAGTGCTGGGATTACAGGGGTGAACCACCGTGCCCAGCCCTAATTTTTTATCTGAAACATTTGAAGTCAATAAGTTTCTGTGTATATCATATATTATGTAACAACTCCATTAATACTCTGTGATGTTGTACATCATTGTTTCTCAACATTTATACTAGTGTAAATAATACTATCAATGTTAACATTAGTTCAAGGTTGGCTACCAAATGTGACTTGGTGCCAAACTTAAGGGGAAAGAATGCATTGTTTTTCATAGTTTGCCGTTATAGAATTGGGAAAAAAATGGGGTTATGTGCTTGTACTCTATATTCACACATGAATCAAAGAACTTCATTGATGATAAATATTGTGTGTACAGCAGAGGCAATCTGACTAACTGAGAAGTCAGTGAGCACATAGCTGGAGAAGGTCTATGTTGTACTCACTTGCAGAGCACTCTGCAGCCACTGGTGCTGTGCAGAAATTCATATGTACTAAAAAGATAATGATTAAATTTAGAAAACAACAGAAAGAGATTTACCAGTAGTGTTCAAATATAATTTCAAGTAATGTAAATGTTTGAATGATTGTTAAAGAAACCACTGGGAACCCTTGATTTTAGTAGAGGTCTTGGAATGATTACCATAGGGTGGAGATGGTTACCATAGGGCCGAGAGGCTTGAACAATGATCAGAATGATATGACCATTAGACACTTTCTGTAGTAGCTTACTGATCTTGGTATACCTAGGACTGGAATAGATTGGAAATTGACTAAAAATACAACTTGATATGTGTAACTACACACACACACACAAACAAACAAAATAAAACAAACAAAAGTCATAAGTCTGTTGAGCAAAAGCCTGACCTGAATCACCACAATAAATAGTCATAGTTTTTCACCCAATGCCCAAATATGAACCAGTCTATACACTAGGAGTCCCCATATATACATATGTACTATATATAGATAGAGAGAGAGAGAGAGAGAGAGGGTCTTGCTATGCTGTTCAGGCTAGTCTGGAACTCCTGACCTCAAGCAATTCTCTTGCCTTGGCCTCCCAAAGTGCTGGGATTATAGGCATGAGCCATTGCACCAGGCCCTAGGAGTCCTTTTTTTTTTTTTTTTTTTTTTGAGATGGAGTCTCGCTCTGTTGCCCAGGCTGGAGTGAAGTGGTGAGATCTCTGCTCATTGCAACCACTGCTTCCCGGGTTCAAGCGATTTCTCCACCTCAGCCTCCCGAGTAGCTGGGATTACAGGCACATGCCACCATGCTGGACTATTTTTTTTTATTTTTGTAGAGACGGGGTTTCACCATGTTGGCTAGGTCCTGGGAGTCCTTTTTTTTTCAGACAGTCTCACTTTGTTGCCCAAGCTGGAGTGCAGTGGCAATCTTGGCTCACTGTCACCTCTGCTTCCTGGGTTCAAGCGACTCTCCTGACTCAGCCTCCCCAGTAGCTGGGACTGCAAGCACACGCCACCATGCCCAGCTAATTTTTTATATTTTTAGTAGAGATGGGGTTTCACCATGTCGGCCAGGATGGTCTCGATCTCTTGACTTTGTGATCCGCCCGCCTTGGCCTCCCAAAATGCTGGTATTACAGGCGTGAGCCACCGCCCCTGGCCAGGAGTCCCTTTTTAAATGGGGCTTTGTCACTTTGAGGAAGGACCCTATGACGATACTACAAGTACATATCTCCAGATACCTTCCTTAAAGGACCTGAAATCATTTACCTTGCAACTGTACTGACAAAAAGAAATGAGGTTATTAGATACTGAGTCTGAAGCGATGGTAGCTGTGCTTTGGATGTCAGGTGATAAATGGAGTTTTGGTCTGCGTCTATGTCTGCTTTCCCATTGCTATAATGCAAAGTTGAAATAGATAGGCTCAGCAACTAGTAGAATTAAACACTTAGCTTTGTTTATTCAAATAATCATCATGTTTCTAATTAGTAATTTTTCAGATAGAATATTTCAAGTTCCTATTTAAGAAGCAAACCTTGATTTTTATGGAGTTAAATCTTCATGTAAAAGAGTTACTCATCATTATATTATCACATAAGTGATCAAAACACTTTGTTAAGTTTGATTTCTGAGACACAGCAAATGTTTTTTAACCACAAAAATATATGTGAGGAATACTGCTTAGAACTAAAAAAAAATCCTTTTATTTAAAGAAAAGCTTCCTAACTCATGTGCTACAAAAGACTTATGGTTTTAATTTGATAATCATAACCTTTTTATTGCAATAAAAATCCCCTTTACCAATCTGAAAATTATCTCACAGTAGAGTAGAAAATAGAATATGCATATAGATAAATAATTGAGTTCATTTTAGATAAATAATCTTGAAAGCATGAGTATATTTTACATATAATATGAAGATGGCATAAATATAGCGTAATAGTTAACATTAAGAGTCAAATACCTATATGTAAAGAGTCAGATAACTACATTTAAATCCACTTTCACCACTTTCTACCTGAGTGACCTTAGTCCAGCTTATTAGCTTCTCTGTGCCTTTATCAACTTTCTTCAGTTTCTCTAATATAAATTGAAGTTTTAAAAATACATGTTCTCTAAAGCCTTTCATGCAATCTAAAAATGAAGAACATATTTTATTAAAGAATTAAAGATCTCTGACATAATATGTATGCAAACTACCAAAAATATGGTAATAATAATGATAGTAACAATAATAATTATATTTTATAATAATAAAATTATAGCTTAAGTAAATAATAAAAGTATAATTTAATCATGACTTTATGATTTAGGTATTCTTATTCTCCCATTTTTAAATATGAGAAAATTGAGGCATAAACTGATTTAGTAATTTGCTCATGATCATAAAGTTAGTAATTGGTAGGGCCAGAAATCCAACCCCACAATTTGATTCCAGCAACCATGTTCTTAACTGCTATGTTACATGTAGGTAAAGACCAAGGGCTAAGGAAAAATATTGACATGAGTTCTTTGTTGCTATACTGAATTGTCCTGATCAGCATATTAAGGAGGAGGTACTTTCATAAAAAGCTAGCAGAAAAAGGATAAGGAGGAAGAATTTCACCCAAAAGTGAGAATATCCAAGAACTCTGTACCAGCCCAACTTTTAGCTGCCCTGGTTGTGATGACCTTGTCTAACATTACCTAGACAGAAATACAAACAGCCAGAGGCAAAGGTTGGAAATAGAAATAAGAAATGTGGTAATATGTGTATTATCTAACTCTATTGTAAGGGGAGATCTGAGAAGAACCTTGGCTGTAGGCAACAGATAAATGTTCAAACTTGGGCTGTAAATAGAAGGCATTGCAATGAGACTGACTGTTGATGTCCCATGTGTTATGCCCATTGACTTTTACAGCCTGCATAAAAAAAGAGTTTGTATAAATTCACGTTTTTCCACCTATTTTTTTTTTCTTATAGGTATCACTACTTGGAGGAACCTCTAATGTAGACTATAAAATGGTGGAACTATTTCTTATGATCTGATGACATTTGGCTGAGAAACATGATTGTAGAAATGGTTATTTATTTATTTTTTTCTACATGAATTTTACTACTGTCATGGAGATTTGAGTCCACCTGAAGATGGTAGTAGCAAAAGAAAATTGTAGATTGTTTTGTTGCTATTGTGGTTTTTGTGATAGACAGAGTGTAGTCCTGAATATGGAACTCCTTATGGTTTCAAGATAAAGCTAGTTTAAGCTAGTTCAATGCCAATATAGCAGTTCATGCAACTGAGAATTCAGAAATGTCTAGATAGATACTAGTTTCCGCTTAGGTCATCAGAATTACTTCCCTCTGTAACTTTCTCTCTCTCTTTATGTATTATAGTTTCCCCTGTGTTGCTTCATTCTTAAGAAAGCTCCTCACATGGTGCACAGATCAACATCTGATGCTCTAGACAGTGTAGAAAGAAAATGCCTTCTCTGCTCACTGAACATTTTATTTGTGGAAAAAAAAATACACAACTCAGAGTAGCTCTGCTTATGTAACTGTTTCATCTCAAGACCTGGACTAAATAATTGATTAAAAGATGGAGAGTGGAATAATCTGATTTTGCAAACTTGGGTTACATGTCCATATCTGGTAGTAGGCCAACCATAGTCAGAAATGCTGACTGAGAATAAAAGACAGTGTTTCCTTAAAGAAACCCTAGACTCACATAGGTACTTGTAATGTACAATTCTGTTTTCTATTCTTTTTTTTAAATTTTCTTTTTTCTTATTGCTTTTCCAATGTTTCCATGCTTACTGCTTATTTCCAAGGTTAGAGATTTTAGATATATGAATAAAAATAATAGATTAAATGAACAATACCTTGAACCCCTTCACTTATAGGCATTACAAAAAATTGACTATATAAACATTCCATTTAATGAAAAGCACTTTAATATTTCTTTGAGATGAGTAGCTTAATAAATTATAGCATTATAAAAATTCCAACAAATAAACAGTATTTTAAAAGTTGGCTGAAAAGAAGTAATTTTCTAAATAAATTTTCTAAAAAGTTTCAATAGCTACACTGTCCTAACAAAGCTTCTTGCAAGACTTGAAAGGAGGTTGTAGCAGCTGAATTTTGCCACTGGTAGCTCTATACAATTTTTTCATTGTGGAGAATGATATTCAGACTAGCAATAGAGTCATCCGCTCCCTGTTATCTACATTCCCATATTTACTTTCCATCATACTTCCCAGACACCTTTCAATTCATAAGTATTGAGTTTTGTATGTAAAATTCACCTTTAAAATATCTGAAAATTTGCTTCCTTCCAATTTCTCCCATTCTCTAAGATTTTATAGGAAGAAAATAAAAAATGTTATATCTAAATTTAATTCAGCACTTGATATGAATAACCTTTTAATATAATTATATACTGTCTAAAGAGTTTGTCTCTCACATTATACTTCTATTTTCTAATATTAAGGTTATTTCTGATTATAAACAGTTACATGTCATAAATTGATAAAGGTATAGACAGACAACAAATTTTCATATTATCATCTGGAGATAATACCTGATAATATTATACTGACTTTTTTCTCCTTATGTGCATGTAATTTAAAAATTAAAACCACATTGATAAACCTTTTATCTTGCTTTTTCAACAGATGTTAAGCATTTTTTTCATATAATTAAAAGCCTTCATTTTAATGATTTTGTTACAACATAAGAGTATATAATAATTATTTTGTTTATTCCTTTACTACTGAGCATTTGGGTTATTTTAACCTCAAAGTCTGTTTGCACAATGTAGGATATGTACTTGTGTGAGATTTCTCTACATACTTTAGCACTGCATTGTTGCAGTTACAAAATGTTAATTTTATTGGTGAAAATCAAATTTTATTATCTTAATTTTCATTTCTTTATTAGTGAGGTTGAATATTTTAAAATGTTCATTAGCCAATGAAACTGAATAATTAATGATTCTGCAAGCTACAGAGAAACGTTTATAAAGTATTAGCTGAATTCTGATGATGTGCTTTTTATACAAAAGCATTTATGTAGATCAACATTTTTACTTAAGGTTTGTATTCTGTATAATATTATTTTCTTATGGCTGTGCTTTATATAATAGCTGAATCTTCGAAGACCTTTTATTATGCCCTTTTTCTAATTGGATTCAGTTTATTATTGAAATGCTGAGAGTCTTATAGACAATGTCCATTTTTATTTATGACAGGATATATATTATTTAACACTTATTGAGTCCTGACTTAAATACAAGACTTTATGTCAGATGCAGTGAGAGAAACAAATGAATATGCCTCATTCCCTACTTTCAAGTAGTTGACCATCTAGTAGGTAGAAAGATACGTGTGCAGCCTAGCATAATCAAGGCTGTGAAGGGAATATGAAATTAGCCGAGCACAAAATTTCAAATGGGACATAAAATTTACTTTGTACTTTAATTTATTTTACCTTATCGCTGTCTTTGATGCTAATGAATTCTATCGGGCCACCTGTGGTGAAATGAGTAGGTTGATGAAAAGATTGAATTTGAAATGATGTCAAAGTTATTTCAAAAAAGGTAGGTGAATATGTAAAAAAAAAAAAAAAAAGACTCATTTTTTACCGTAAGAATAGATATATGAATAGAATTCACCATTACAATGGCATTTGAATTCACTCTATTATGTATTTTCAGGTTAATTTATAGATTTGTTAAATGAACTCTGGGATTGTTCTGCCAGCCTTCACTTCTCCACAGAGCAGTAGATTCAGGATCCTTTCACCCTGCAGGTGTTACAATTAATTAAACCAGTGTTTCTATTTGCAAGTATTATGATTGTGATAGCTAATGGTGATTAATCTCAGTAATATTGTTAGGCTTTCACTTTCCAGCTTAGGGGTATCACTTTCATTCTAAAGTGTTGATTATTTCTTATCTAACTTTGAAAATAAGATTAGATGCTCTTAAACTAATGTTTCCTATATTGTCTAACTATGGAAATTTATATGGTAATTTAAAATCTGATAAGCTATGAGTGACATAGGACTGCATAGTAATGCAATCGTAAGCATTGACAAATTGGGCAGAATTCAATTCACTCTGCTTTTACAAGGAAAATAATTCCCACCACATGCTGAAGAGTGAGAAGGGGTATTGAAGAGACTATTTGTCCTTTAAGAGAATTATCTTTATTTTATCCACTTTCTGCACATATCTGGAAAAATTTACTTTAGAATTTTAACAAGATTAATGAAGAAAATAAAAAAATTCCTTTGGTTAGCATTTTGGGGTGTTTACTCAAGTATTTTTTGAATTCAGACTTTATAAAACAAGGCACTCTGCAAGGCACAGACATTGATCAAATGTTGTTCCTGAAATCTAATAGAAGTCAGATCATTTGCATTCTATTTACATCATATAATCTGGGCACAGATTTGCTACTTACTAGCAATGTGACCATGTAGGTTGGTTACTCAAAGCCCCCATTTTGCCAAAAGTAAAAAGAAAATAGTAATTTCTACCTACCAAGGTTGTTGTATGGTTTATATTACATAATATACGAGCACAACTTCTGACATAGCAAAAAAACAAAACGAAACAAAACAACAATAACAAAAAACCTTGGTTCCTGCTGTCAGCTGCTTCTGACATGGTTCACAATGATCTCATCTCATGGTATTCATACTCTTGTATTGTTCCCTCACATTGAGTGTGGACTGAACCAAATGACATATGTTTAAAGATAAAATACAATAACAATAATGAGATGCCACCACAATGATAAGGTTACAAGGGCTATAATTTATCTCTTTCTAGAATTTTCTTTCTTACTGGCACTCCACCTCTCCTTTGCCTCCTTTACTTGCTCATTTTGATAATGTTGGCAAGATCCACATGTCAGGGAATGGAGGCTCTCTGTCCACAAGTTCATGAGGAACAAAATCCTACCAACAACTGCTGAGTGAACTTGGAAGTGGCTCTAGCTCCAGCTGAACCTTGAGATAACTGTGCCTCCTACCAACATCTAACTGCAGCCTGTGAGAGGCCTGAGCCAACACCTTGATTTCAGTCTTCTAAGGAACTCCGAAGCAAAGAACCCAGTAAAGCTATGTTCTAATTCCTGACCCACAGAAATTGTGAGATAATACATGTGTAGAATTTTAAGCTTCTATGTTTAAAAGTCATTCGTTATCCAGCAGTAGATAAAGAGTATAGTTGATCTCCCATACTTCTTCTCTGAACCTGCATTTGCTGACCTGTAAAAGACGTCAAATAATTCAAGTCCTACTGACCTCAAAGGATCTTGTTAAAGTTTTGCAAAAGTTTGTCATATGAATTGGGTCATTCCTGTCATACTCAGCAGAAACCAAGTTGAGAGGCCAGGGCAAAAAGCATTCAGGACACAAAACATTGCTCCAAAATGTTCAGCCTGACAACTGAAACTGCCTGATATAACCTAAAAGTAGTTTTATGTAGTGGCTACTGAAACGACCTGCTGCAACTCTAAGACTAGTTTGCCACTGCTGTCACTCACTAATCAGAACTTGCCAGTTCCTCAAGACCTTACCAATGCCAATGAATTTTTTTCAAAGAGAAATACATAACATTTATCCTTTTTACAAAATCTCTCATCTTCTCTTTGTTCTTTGGACATATAGAAGACCAGCTGGTCTATGTATATGCCCAGAATTGCAATTATTTTCTTCCAAATAAAACATTTTAATTTCAGAGATTTGCCTCTATATTTTATTTGGCTATGAAAGTTTATATACGTTAATGTATACAGGAGAACTTAGCAAACTTTCAAGCACTCTATAAATATAAGCCATTGTTAAGGAATATAACACAAGTAATGGTTCATAAGGCAAGTAATAACCATTTACTGAGCATCTAGGATGTTTCAGGCACTTCCAGGATAGTTTCAAAATACATCGAATTGACACTGCCCATCTATAAAATAGGCATCATTATGCCCACATTATAATTGAGGAAACTGAAGTTCAGCAAATGTTGATAACATTCACAAAGGCTAGAGTGAGATGGTTTGTAATACATTATCCAGGTATGATTCAAAAGTCTATGTTGTTTACTTTATAAAATCCTACCACTTTTCCTTCTGTTTTAACAAAATAAAAAGTTTCCAAAAATTAAAAGTCTTACAGTAAGTACTGTTGGTGCTCCACCAATATCTCCTTAACTGAGTACACTAACTCTCCACTAATCCTCTGAAGGAATCTTCTATCTGAAGGAGGCAGTGTGAAGTCAGTGGCTAACTGACATATGCTATACTGCTGATGTTTCAAGTTGAGATGATCTCTGTGGTGCAACCCATCCTCCAAAGTCTTCTGTAGGGTAAGGCAGAAGCTCATCTCCCAGATGAAAAAAAAAGTCTTATCTTTGCCTGCTTTTATTTCCCTGCCCTAGCCTTCTTCCATTACTCTCCATCTCCTGAGAACATTTCCTCCCTCAATGAATCTCTTTCACCCACATCTTTGCCTTAGCGTCTGTCTAGAGGGAATCTGGCTTAAGACAATCCTCTAGCTCCCTTATTTTCTACTTTCTCCTTTGTACATTTCATCCCAAATCCTATGGGTACTTACACAGCAATATATCTATTCAAACCTCCAGGTTATTGAGCTTAACAGAAGCAACAGCCAAGCTACAGGAGTAGTAGGTCAAAATTTGTCTTATAGTTTTGCTGATAGTCCCCTCAGAAGTTTTCTTTCATGAGCCTAAGATAAAAAATCTTTGTATACTGTATAAATATTCATTGTATTAACAGTTTTTGTATATAATGATTGTTTATGGTTTTTATTGACACACTAGTTGTGCATATGTTGGGGGTATATGAGATGTTTTGATTCATGCATATGATGTGTAAGGATCAAATCAGGGTGATTGAGATATCCATCACCACAAACATGTATCTTCACTTTGTGTTGACATCATTGCAGTCTTCTCTTCTGGCTATTTTGAAATGTACAATAAATTATTATTTACTATAATCTCCCCTACTATACTATCAAATACAATGGGATATTATTCAGCCATATCAATGAAACCTTGTCATTTGCAGCAACATGGATAGAATTGAAGATCTTTATGATGAAATAAGCCAGGCACAGAAAACTAGATATCACATGTTCTCACTCATAGATGGGAGTTAAAAATGTGGATGTTATGGAAGTAGAAAGTAAAATGGTGGTTACCAGAGAGGGCAGTGGAGCGGTGGTAATAAAGAGAAATCAGTTAACAGATGTAAAAATACAGTTAATATAAGGAATAAGTAACTAAAATTTTTTTAAATGATTATTTTATTTATTAAGTAATATAATTATGGACAATTTGAATAATACAGAAAAAATATTTGAAAAAATATAAATGCATTTTAATTCCACTATCCAAAAATATTTAAGTGGAATTTTAAAGAATTTTTTAAAATCTTAGTAATAATTTAGTTTACTAGTCCAGAATATTAATTCTTGATAGAAATTCTTGCCATTTCACCAGTTATTTCCCTTTTTGTGGAAAGCATCTTATAAATTTATTTCTCACTCTTCTCAGTAGGACTACCATTACAATGGGACAATTCTAGTCTTTTCATCAAGTGCCTTTTCTGAAGCAGTGATGTTAAATACCTATTTCCTTTATTTTTTAATATTCTTCTGAACTTCCCAATACAGATTCCTCAGAATGCATGCATAGAATCATTCGCCACTGATGGCTAAACATAGATACAAACTCAATACTCGTTATCTTCACATTTAATCCTATTCATTGAAATAATTGATCATTCTAATATGTTCTACTTTATACTTCTATTACTATCATCAATAGGACATAATCATCAGTAATTGTTATAATACTCATAGCACCTCCAGAAAATTTTAGTGTTACATAATTCAGATGCCATATAATCTGAAATTAACAATTTTTGTGGGCGGGGGGTTGCTGAAGTTTGTACCCACAACTCTAATGGTCTTTTTCTTCCCTATACAGCTTTCCTTTAAACACAAACTGACAAAGAAACCTTTTCCTCAAGAATCATGGGATGTTATACAGCTAGAAAATATTTAGCATATTTTCAGTAAATATTTAAAAACTCAGTTCTTTGTCACTTACAATGTTTAATATCATGCAAGTGGCAGTGAACAGAGATCATCTACTATCTCTTTCTTTCTTTGGCCTTGGTCACTGACCCCTGAGATTCCTCGCCAAATGTGTCTCAAGCAGATGCAAATCTTTGGCACTCGGTCTGTGATCAAAATGCTTTATATGACAGACAAGTCTGTTAAGTTATATTTTAACCAGGTGATATAAAATAATGAAAAGGAAGCATAAAACTTCCTCGTGGAGGACAAGTCTGTCGTTATCAGGTAAGGAAAGTCTCATTTCAGACTACACCAGCTAGCTAGCTAACTAACAGAACTAACGAAACGTAGTTCTAAGTGATACCTTTACACAGCTACGTTTCTGTTTATTCTGGGGATGTTTCCTAGGATATTTTGATAAAATACATTAAAATTATATCAAAATAAATAGATATTTATTTGTCTGCAGATAGAAATTTACTTGTCTGCCTTTCAATAGTTTGCTTCATATATGAGAGCAAAGTTTATTTCAGATGCATGAGTTATCATCACAATGCTTCCTTCATTCTGCCCATAACTGAGTCCCTTTGGGTATCAGTTACCCACTATACAATACTATCTCTCATTCCAAACAATTTGGAAGTTTATACACTCAGAAACTCTATTGAATTTTTAAATTATTATTATTTAATTTTAATTTTTTTTTTTTTTTTTGAGGAGGTGTCTCGCTCTGTCACCGAGGCTGGAGTGCAGTGGCACCATCTCGGCTCACTGCAAGCTCCGCCTCCCGGGTTCACGCCGTTCTCCTGCCTCAGCTTCCCCAGTAAGTGGGACTACAGGCGCCCGCCACCACGCCTGGCTAATATTTTTTTTTTGTATTTTTAGTAGAGACGGGGTTTCACCGTGTTAGCCAGAATGGTCTCCATCTCCTGACCTGGTGATCCGCCAGCCTTGGCCTCCCAAAGTGCTGGGATTACAGGCGCCCGCCACCAAGCCCATCTAATTTTTTGTATTTTTTAGTAGAGACGGGAAATTTTTTTATTTTTATTTTTAGAGAAGCGGTCTTGCTATGTTGACCAGGCTGGTCTCAAACCTGGCCTCAAGTGATCCTCCCATCTCAGCCTCTCAAAGCGCTGGGATTATAGGCATGAGCCACCACTCCTGGCTGTGTTTTATTATTTTTTAATGCTTTAATATTCTTGTCTTTATCTCAAAACATGTCACAGTTGCTTTTAAACAAGAGCGTTTCAATTCAAGTAACTTTGCTTTACCCATTTTAAAAAAAAATGTTTAAAAGTTTTTTGTTGTTCAAGAATGCATTTTATTCCCAAATAAACAGAAAAAAACAACTTAACCTCATAGGACATAATATATTGTAAACGCTATACAAAACAGAGTTTTGACTGATTTTCCAGGAAATAAATTGGATGGAGCAGTAAGCATGTAATTATTCATCTTCCCAATAAAAAATGTATACCCGGAAACTGTGAATATGACATGAAAAATACAAATACGTACACGCCTTTGGTTTCATCCAGAGGTGCCAGTAAATAATTTGAAGAGCAGTGTGGAATTTGAGAAATGCTCACTTTAGGGAGATAATGTGTGTGAAAAACATTAATGACAGATCCCGAGTGATAAATTATCCACTACTATAGAAAGTTTCATGTACCATTTGGGTTTTAAATGCTAGAAAATTCGAGGTAAAATATCTTGTTATTTACAGATAGAATCTTTCTCCTGATTAGAAGTGAAATGATATGGCACCCTATGACAAAGTAAAAAAATCAATCATCTCTCATGAATGAAGAATCATAATTCACAGTCTCTTCAAGAGAAAGATCAGATCAGAAATTTGATTTTGCAAATGGGGTATCAGGGCCCCCCAAACTAAGTGTTTTTCTTTGATCTATCTAGAAGTCAGTAGTAGAAATAAAGTACTCACTACAAGTTAATCTTATTCTCGATGGCGTATAGTTTCTATTTAAGAAAATAAGCAGTAAATAAGCATGATCTCCAGTAACTCAATCATATTTTGGTCCATACCAATTACAAAGAAAGAATTCTATGATTTAGATATTAAGCATTCTAATAAGAGATTCACACAATCTGCCAATACCAAATTTAGGTTTCATCCATCTTCACCTGGTTCATATGAGAATTTCTTAGTATCAAGCCTCTAATTCTTATAAAATGTGACTGTTTTGTTTACACTAGCCATCTAATTAGGAAAGATGATATTTTTGCCATTTCCATTTTTTACAACAATATTGCCATACACATTTATATATAAGTTTTGTGAGTTCAAACGTTACTTTAGGCTGTATATGAAATTTATGGTTCAAATGGTATGTGTCATAGGGAGATTGTATCCCTACAAAATTCATATGTTCTTAAGTTCTAACGCCCAGTACTTCAGAATGAGATGGTATTTGGAGATAGAGTCTTTAAAGAAATAATTAAGGTAAAATAAGGTAATTTGGGTGGACCCTAATCCAATATGACTAGTGTCCTTAAAAGAAGAAATTACAACACAGAACATAGAGGAAATATCATGTGAAGACACTAGGAGAAGACAGTCATCTGCAAGCCAAAGAGAAGCCTCAAATGCAGCCAACCCTGTGGGAACCTTGATGTTGCACATCTAACCTCCAAAAATGTGTGAAAATAAATTTCGGTTATTCAAGCTACTCAGTCTGTGACACTTTTAATATAGTACATATAGCTTCAAATTTACTAAATAATGACAAATTTCTTCCATGTTAGTTTTACCAATTTATGATTTGCTCATTCAGCAACACTTACTATGTTTAGCCTTCATCTTTTCTATCAATCCATTGTATTACAATGGATTTAAAAATTTAAGTAGCTATTTTCTTTTGCTTTGCCTGATTATTACTAAGGTTGATCTCCATGTATATTTGTTAAAATGCATACACTAAGGTCTACAAATTCTTCAGTAATATATTTCACTGATTTTTTTCCATTTCAGTTGTCTTTTTCTTATCAACTATTTAAAGAATTTCTATGTGTCTTTTCAATATTACTCTTATTTGTGAATTGCAAATATTTTCTGCAGTTCATGGCTTGCTTTTCATGCTACTTACTGTTGAGTTTTAATTAAATTGTGTTTATTCACCTATTCGCCTAAAGGAGAATGTGATGGAGAAATATCATGAAGTTATTTAAAACATATTCCTTTAATTTGTACTAATTTATGAGATACATGTAAAATTTTGTTACATATATATATAATGTATAGTGATCAAGTCATTTATGGTGTCCATTACCTAAATTCAATACACTTTTGTTAAGTATATTCACCCTACTCTGCTATCAAACATGGAATGTATTTTTTTAAATCTTACTATGTGTTTGTACCCTTTAATCATTGTCTGTTCATCATTTGCCCTCCTCATCCACTCACTCATCCCAGAAAGTTTCTATGTTTTCACTGTCTACCTCCATGTGATCCCACTTTTAGCTACTACATATGAATGAGAACATGCTACGTTTGTGTTTTTCGTGCTGAGCTTATTTTACTTAAGATAATGGCCTCTAATTGCATCCATGTTGACACAAATGACATTATTTTATGCCTTCTTATGGATAAATAGTATTCCATTGTGTATGTGTATCACATATTCTTTATCCATTCATCCACTGATAGACACTTAAGTTGATTCTATATCTTTGCTATTGTGAATAGTGCTGCAATAAACATGGGGGGTGAAGGCATTACTTTGATATACTGATTTCCTTTCCTTTGCATTAATACCCAGTAGCAGGATTGCTCGATGATATGGTAGTTCTATTTTAACTTTTTGAAGAACTCTCTATACTGTTTTCCATAGTGGCTGTTCATAGTGGGAGTATGCTCCCACCAACAGTATATGAGAAGAATTCCCTTGTCTCCTCATCCTCACTAGCATTTGTTACTTGTTGTTGTTTGTATCATAGCGATTCTAACTGGGTTAAGGAAATATCTCATTGTGGTTTTGATTTGTATTTCCTTGATGATTAGCAATGATGAGCATTTTTCCATATATCTGTTGGCAATCTGTATGTCTTCTTTTGATAAATATTAACTCATATCCTTTTCCCACTTTTAAAATGGGATTGGTTGAATATTTTCACTGTTGAGTTATTTGAATATTTTGTATATTCTGGATATTAGTCCATGTTGGATGAATACTTTGAAAATATTTTTAAGGCAACCAAAAGAATGGGAGAAAATTTTTGTGATCTATCCATCTGACAAGGTCTAATATTCAGAATCTACAAACAATTTTTAAAAATTTACAAGAAAAAACAAACGACCACATGAAAAAGTGGACAAAGGATATAAACAGACACTTCTCAAAAGAAGACATTTATGCAGCCAAAAAACATGTGAAAAAAAGCTCAACATCACTGATCATTAGAGAAATGCAAATCAAAACCATAATGAGATACCATCTCATGCCAGTCAGAATAGCGATTATTAAAAAGTCTGGAAACAATAGATGTTGGTGAGGCTGTGGAGAAAGAGGAATGCTTTTACACTGTTGGTGGGAATGTAAATTAGTTCAACCATTGTGGAACATAGAGTAGCAATCTAAGATCCTCCAGGATCTACAACCAGAAATACCATTTGACCCAGCAATCCCATTACTGGGTATATACAAAAAGGAATATAAATCATTCTACTATAAAGGCACATGCACACATATGTTTATTGCCACACTGTTTACAATAGCAAAGACATGGAACCAACCCTAATTCCCATCAGTGATAGAATGGATAAAGTAATTGTGGTACATATACATTATGGAACACTATGTAGCCATAAAAAGGAATGAGATCATGTCCTTTGCAGGGACATGGATGAAGCTGGAAGCCATCATCCTCAGCAAACTAACACAGGAACAGAAAACCAAACACCACAAGTTCTCACTCATAAGTGGGAGTTGAACAATGAGAACACACGGACACAGGGAGGGGAACAACACACACTGAGGCCTGTTGGGGAGTGGCGGGCAAAGGGGGGAAACCTATATGATGGGTCAATAGGTGAAGCAAACCACTGTGGCACACTATGTAACAAACCTGCATGTTCTACACATGTATCCCAGGACTTAAAGTAAAAGAAGACAAAGAAAAGAAAAGGAGAGGAGAGGGGAGGGAAGTGGAGGGGAGGGGAGTTTTTTTTTTCTCATTCAATAAGTTGCTTCTTTACTCTGTTTATTGGTCCCTTGCTGTGCAGAAGCTTTTTAGTTTAATCTAGCTCTATTTGCTTAATTTTTCTCCTGTTGCCTGTGGTTTTGAGGTCTTAGCCTTAAATCTTTGCCTAGACCGATGTCCTCAAGTGTTTCCCCTACATTTTCTTTGAGTAGTTTTACAGTTTCTGGTCTTACATTTAAGTCTTTTATTCACATTGATTTGATTTTTTGTATTTGAGGCAAGGGATTAGTTTGTTCTTCCGCATAAGAATATCCAATTTTTCCTACACCACTTATTCCATTTATGGAAGAGAATATTCTTTCTCCAATGTATGTTTTTGGTGCCTTTGTTGAAAACCAGCTAGCTGCAAATACATGGATTTATTTCTGAGTTCTTTATTCTGTTCCACTGGTCTGTGCATCTGTTTTTATACCAATAACGGCTGTTTTGGTTACCATAACCTTGTAATATATTTTGAAGTGAGGTAGTGTTATGCCTCCAGCTCATATCTTTGTACCCAGGATTGCGTTGGCTATTTGGGCTCTTTTTTGGTTCCATACAAATTTTAGAATTGCTTTTTTTCTGTCAGAAATTACGTTGGCATTTTGATAGAGATTACCCTGAATCTTTAGATCACACTTGGTAGTACTGTCATTCTAACAATATTCATTCCTCTCTCCTTCCTTGTTTTAGGTGTTTCTTGTCATTTCTCTGTTGAATTCCAGTGTTGTCTCTTAGATGACCTATTAAAATGTGATTATCTAATCACTATTTTGTTTTTGTGTGGAGGAGGTATTTAGTTTTTAGTGGTTGCCAACACATATTAATATGCATTCATAACAAAGTCTAAAATTATCTTTCCTTCTTGTGTCTATACTACAATACTAAAACATATGTCACTTTTGAACTTTATTTTAGTTGTTCTGTTTTCTTTTTTTGTACCCAAAATTATTACGATTGTTTTATGCATCATTTCCTCAGAAAACCAACTGGTTAAATTGTGATAAATTAACATCCAGACCTTTCCATTTTGGAAAGTGTAAATATTATTCTGACAGAAATGGACATGCAATCTAGGTAAGGGTTTTGCCTTTACTGCCTACAAGGCCTCAGTAAACATCATTTTCCAAGAACTTACAGAAGGTTTCTTTCAATGGTATGTAATCCCATATATTATCAAAGTAACTAGAGACCTAATTTAGAGCAAAGGAGGTCCTAGAGAAGGTCCCTAAACACAGGGTCCACTGGTTATGTCACCTACTGCACTTCCCAGAAGTTGCTGGTCATATTGAGCAGTAAAATGACTTGCTGAGAGCATAGCTGAAGAGCCAACATGCAGGCAATACCCTGGAGGAGGCGATACTCTTCTCCAGGATGTTGTATACTCATTGATGAAAAGTCCTTTAGGTGCTATTGGACTTCCAATAGAAGGAATAATGAGTCTTGAATCCAAGAAGCAGAAACAGGGCTTGCCTTACTTATCATCACTCCCGATGTTTCCTTATGGTGCTTCATGCTTCATGTCTGCACACTCTGTGCTCAGGTGTTAGAGGTCCTAGTCTCTCAAAGAAGTACATTTTTTCTGGGAACATAGGAAATGACCCAATAAAATATAACTACTGATGCCATTGAAGCCCTTTATGTTTCTTGCTTCCAGGGGCCTGGAGACAAGTAAAGGGTCATTATTTTTGCAGAATGATTGACCTGGATCCTCAGCAGGGAGTAGGATGGCTGCTACACAATGGAAGCAGTATGTGTGAAAAACTTTTGGTACTTTCTTGCCACACTGCGACATTATATCACCAGATGAAATAATGGTTAATTTTATGTGTATATTAGACTGGGCTAAGCGATGCCCACGTATCTGCTAAAACATTATTTTTGGGTGCGTCTGTAAGGGTGAGATTAGCACGTAATTGGTACATTGAGTAAAGAAGGTCTACTCTCAGTAATGTGGGTGAGCAACACTTAATCCATTGAAGGGCTGATTAGAACGAAAAGGCAAAGGATAGACAGATTCTCTCTCTCTTGCCTCTTGAGCTAGGACAACCATCTTTTCCTGCTCTCAGACATTGGAGCTCCTGTTTGTTTGGGTCTTTGGACATGACATAACCAATGGTTTTTCTGCTTTTCCATCTTCCAGATGGCAGGTGGTGGAAATTCTCAGCCTCCGTAACTATGTGAGCCAATTCCCATAATAAGTCTTTTACTCTCTCAGTCTGCCTCTCTCAGACATGCACACACACACGTGCACACACACACACGTGGGCACGTGTGTGTGCATGTATGAAGTAAGCCACTGAAACAGACAAAAAAGGCAGAGGTGGTAGGTGAAGGTAAGGGAGAATCTAGAGTGAACAGTGGCAAAGGAAAACAAAGAAAATCAATCGCAGCATGACGATTAACTGCACCAGTGAAGGCTATAATCTGTTCCACTGACCACCCTCTTTTGAGCTTCTTTTCAGGATCAGAAGTCCACTAGAATCCTTCTTTCCTAAAATGCATCTGGGCAGCCTGAAGTGTGGACTGTAACAGAGGTGTGTCATGCAGGTACTCCTTTATGTAAGGACTTGTTGCCCAGATTTAAAAAGTGTAATCAGGAGACCATCATCATGCTTAGCTTCTTCAAATTCTGCCTCAGCTACAGAACTCACCCAAGGGCATGTACTTCCTTAGGCAGTGTGTATTTGATGACCAAGCCAAACCAGAGGAAAAAAGCCAGGCAACTGTAACAGAAAATGTTTGCTCCAAATCTCCCCACTAGTGTGAATGAGTGTGATTTGGCCTGTATTGTCATTTGACATCTTTCTCTGGCTAATTGTGCTTCTTCTTCCTTCCTTTTGTGGGATTTAACCCTAGTAAATACCTTACACCCCAAACTGCATGTAAACATTCAAATGTGGCAGTCCCAATACTTGTTTCTTGTTCTCAGATAATCAAGGACAGTTTTAGAGTGGCCAGTTTATATCCCATACTGTGTGCAAAGTCATTGAGCAAGTAAACTAACATTGTTCAGTTTGGAAATAATTGAATTGCTCTGTAGAATGTCTTTATTTTCCTTTAAGATTGTACAAGAAATATCACGTTTATGCATTTGCCTAATATAATTCCCTACACTTTCATTACTGGTAGACTGAATGTCCCTCTGAACTTATACCCCCAATGCAGACATTCCTGGGTATTTATGTGCAATAGCTTATTAACATTTGACAGTCACAGCCTAATTTAGTGGCATTTTAAAAACACTCCAATAATGTTAACTGAGAAGGGGACAACTAATACAAATAAGATAATCGACAAATATGGTAAGGTAAATAATTTTAAGATGACTTTTTTTTTTTAACCATGGCAACATTCACCCTTTGCACCATCAAAACTAAAATAAAAACTAACAAAATGTAATGCCTATGATTTTAGTCATTCTTTGAGGTTATGATTTAGTATCTTGATTCCTTGTATAGAAGGACTAACCTAGGAATTAACTCATGATAAAGCTGATGGTACACCAGGGCATAAGTTAAGAAGAACTGCTAGAAACCTTTCAGAGCCCCAAGCAAATCATATAGATTGAGGAGCTTGTCTTCAGCCTTCTTTTGTCAAAATGAAAATAATTTCCTTTGTCAGTTACTCCATATATCCTCAGAAGATGCTTGTCAGTGTTTATTAGCATAGCTCATGCAGTTCCATAAATAACAACATTCGTTTGATACTCTTTTTGCTTGCTCCATATGGCTCAAGCAGGGGAATTTTTGCCTGGAAATTGTCTTATTTCCTAGTATTTTTTATACAGAAATTGTTTATGTGTAATTCATCAGTTTTATGGCCCTTTTTTCTTGAGTTTAGAAAGTGAAAGCATGCCCAGTGTTCAGTCACACACAGAGCAGACTCATTACAGGATTGTCAATGAGCAATTTACCAAGCAGAAAGTAAAATTAGCTTTACTGAAAAGTTGACTGTGGTGTGCTACCCTCAGTGGAAGTAGCCAGTAAAATTTTACCCACAACTGGTTACATAGGAGTAATTAAAACCATTAATCTTTTTATTGATCTTTGACTCTGTTGCCTACTATATTAAGCAGATAAGATGCATGAGCTACTGGAGTGTGTCCATTGTCACAGATGTCCATCAATAGGTATCCCCTGAAGAGGGCTCCAGGGTGAAAGAGTATCTGATTTATGCCTATTATGTGGTTCATTCAGACCTGAAACAAATAGTTGTTATGCTTTATTAAGAAGCAAGATTTGCAAAGTGCAAGTCCAATAAAAATTGTAACTTCTTTTATGCTACAGAGAAGTACCACCTACTAAATGCCTTTTGAGTCACATATGTTCCATTTATTTTTGTATTTGAAGAGGCTATAGTTCTACTTGATAGCATCTTAAAATGCTATAGAGCAATGTATAATTTCATACTTAGGTGCTCTTTTATAAAAGTAAATGTTTGACCTCATAGTCCATAATTATGTCTCTGAAGTGGTATAATCCATCACAAAAGCCTGGCTTGGTTCACAGATCATTGATACAGTTAGTTTTAACAGATGCTTAGATATCATTACAATCTTTTTTATCCATTTGGCTGTCATCAAAGCTGGGCTTATGTGTCCAACTAGGGCTATAATTTCAACAAGACTTTGAACAATTAGTACTCTAGATGAGTAGATCATCAGTCAGTGATTTTGACCAATTAGGGAATTTTTAGAATTAGGCATGTTGTAGCTGTTCTAAATATTTGTTGAAGAAAGTTAAGCATAAGATTAGCAGATATTTAACACCGGGTGCAATGGGTAGAATAACTCAATAAAAGCCTGAGGACTTGGTATCTTGACAGCTGACGTCTTAAAAAGTTAAGAGTGGGAATCTATGCCTGGTAAATTCTGGCTACAAATGTCCACACTCACATGAAGTTGATTAGTGTCAACATGTAAATACAAGTCTACTAATTTTGTAATTGTTGCACTTTTACTGATCAAAAATGCAGAAATATACCATGTGTGCTGTTGACAATTGTCATTTGACATTCTCAACAACCTTTCCATTTTGGGGGGAGTCACTTAGTGCGTTACTGAGTGCATGAGAGTCTAGAAAACCCTTCTTCTAACTAAATAAACTGTTGGAAGAGAAGCAAGTAGGCCTATCACAAAAGAAGCAGCTTGAGTGACTAAATCTTACAAAAGTGAAAAAACAAACAAACAGAAATGTTCAAGGGGGATTGAAGGGGTGGCTAAGCTTACAGTGATATAGCAGAGTGGACCTCTAAGAGCGAGGTCACCAGTGGGGATAGCCTAGTAGCTGGTTCCATGAACCTGGCTTGCTCTCAAGGACCTAGGCTCATTTAATTGTCCTCAATTTTCTAATCCAGTTTCTCTAGATTTCTAGTCAATTAAGTTGTCCATCCAATAACCTTCCGATGATTTATTTTCTTCTGAATTTAACCAGAGCATATTTTTGTTGTTTTATTTTATTTTTCCATTTCTTTGCTTCAATCAATAATCATTACTGATGCACATTGGTTCTAGTTGTACTTACAAATATAAGACAAATATGTGTTTATGTATTATTATATACACACCATTATACATTATATATATTATATATATAAAATAAAATAAAATACCTCTTTTTGCTTGATAGATTCTCCTGGCTAATGAATATTAGTCTTCCATAAGATTTCATCCTTATTTCTCTTTATGCAAATATCACTGGTTTTCTTCCAGTTTTGGATTTAGACTTCAGATCTCTAAAATTAGAAATCCAGATACAAATTTGCTTCTATTACATCTAGTACTGTTCTACTTTCTAAACTCACTTTCAATTCTTAATTATCTCCCACTCAGATGATTGAATTCATTAAATCATTCAGTAGGCATCTATTAAGTACCAGTGACATGACACAAGGCATTCGTTAATAAAACATATATGGATTCTGCTTTTTGTAAGCTAACTCTTTTATATGAGAAGTAAAAAATAACTAAACCAAGTAATATGCATGTATCTGTCTGTGTGCATGACATGTGTTATGAAGAAAACACATTGAATACAGAGATGGAGAATAATTGAATAACAGAGAGAATTAATAGTAAGGAAAGACCTCTCAAAGTATGTGCCATACAAGAAAAGACACAGAAGTACATAAAGGAATTAGCCATGAATAGAATGGAGATGAATATGTGTACCTGTGTTGGAGTGAATAAGGGGCCGAGAGATAAATTGAATATATGACAATATCTGTACTGTGGAGGGTTTGGCATGTGTTAACAGTTGGCAGTAAGCCCGTGTTACTGAATTTTGTGAGTATAGGGAAAATTGGTGGGGAATGACATTGGAGAAATTAGCAGGAATTTAATGTAAGAATTTAATATTCATAGTAAAGTTTTCAAATTTTCCAGAGAACAATGGGAATAAGTTGGAGGATTTAAGTTTAATAAATCACAAAATGTGATATGTTTTTATTCAGCTGGCTTATATTTGGCGAATAAATGGACATTAAAATTGGAATTAGGAAAAGCAACGTATTAGTCTGTTCTCACACTGCTATAAAGAAGCGCAAGACTGCTAATTTATAAAGAAAAGAGGTTTAATTGACTCACAACTCTGCAGGCTGTGCAGGAAGTATAATGATTGTGGAGACCTCAGGAGGCTTCCAATCATGGCAGAGGAAAAGGGGAAAGAAGCATCTCATATGGCAGGAGCAAGAGCAAGAGGGAGCAAGCAGGGAGGTGCTGCACACTTTGAACAACCACAACTCATGAGAACTCACGCTCTATCACAAGAATAGCACCAAGGTGGTGGTGCTAAACCATTGGTGAGAAATCCACTCCCCTGATCCAATCACCTCCCACCAGGCCTCACCTCCAACACTGGGGACGACAATTCAACATGAGATTTGGTGGGGACACAGATCAAACTATAACAATCAATAGGAATGAAAGTGATGACGTGGTTAGATTAAGGTGGTGGCTTAGGTAAGAGATGGCAAGAAGGCTCAATATATTTTGAGACAGAAAACACAAGACTTGATAGTCTGGCAGTCTGGACATAAAGGAAGTAAGAAAAAATCAAGAGTGATTTCATATCACAAATATACATTGATCTTAAGAGCTTTGACTAAACCACAGTTCTACTTTTTGATATCTCTCATAAATTTATCTATCTATCAATTGATGTGATTGATAGATCAAAAGTGCAGAAAACTTCTGAAGACAAAGTATTATAGATGTCCAAAAATCTTAGTCAAAATACAAAATTTTTGAATAGGATATAATGAAAATAATGTTAAAAGCATAGTGGGGATTTAAATAACAGGTACAATTTAAGGAGGCAAAAAAACAACAACACATAAACAAATACATGATTTTTCTTTTTGTCTTTTTTTTCCCCCCAAAGAAATCTGACTATCTCCTGAAGGCCTAGCTCTCCCTTGTAGCCCTGTCAAGCAATGGTTGTTTTCACCCCATAGCCCTGCTCCCCTGGATGTAGAGGTGAGGTAGCTGTCCATGGTGTCCCTTTATAGACTTTTAGAACATTTTTTTCTTTGTCTCTAACAACAACAATAAATCTAAGTTTAAATTTTATATGATGTTAGAAGTACCATATAATTATTTTTATTCTACCTACTTCTAGGTCATTTCTTCTTATTTCTCCATTATTTTTGCTTAATTATGATTATCTGTCATAAATATTGGTGATTTCAATACAAATGTAGACAGTCCTTTCATACACTGGTCTATTCGTTTCATTAATTCTTCTCCAGTAGTCTTTTCCTCTACTATATTTCAACCACTAACTCCAAAGGGAATTAAAGTAACTGAAACCTTTCCATAATCTATAATCTTTTTTGTGTGTGTGTGACAGAATCTCTGTCGCCAGGCTGGAGTACTGCGGCATGATTTTGGGACACTGCAACCTTCACCTTCTGGGTTCAAACGATTCTCCTGCCTCAGCCTCCTGAGTAGCTGGGACTACAGGCGCGCATCACCATGTCCAGCTGATTTTTGTATTTTTAGTAGAGATGGGTTTCACCATGTTGGCCGGGCTGGTCTCGAGCTTCTGACCTTAAGTGATATGCCCACCTCAGCCTCCCCAAGTGCTGGGATTACAGGTGTGAGACAACATTCCCAGCCTTTTTACTGTTTATTTTAGGTTCTGGGATACATGTGCAGGTTTGTTATATAGGTAAATTGTGTGTCATGGGGTGTGGTGTACTGATTATTTCATCACCCAGCTAATAAGCCTACTACCCAGTAGGTAGTTTTTTGATCCTCTCCCTCCCCGTATTCTCCACCTTCAAGTAGGCCCCAGTGTCTGTCATTCCTTTTCCTTTTTTTTTTTGTCCATGTGTTCTCAGTGTTTAGTTCTGACTTATAAGTGAGGTCATGCAGTGCTTGGTTTTCTGTTCCTGCATTAGTTTGCTTGGGATAATTGCCTCCATCTCCATCCATGTTGCTGCAAAGGACATGATTTTGTTCTTTTTTATGGCTATGCAGTATTCCATGGTGTATATGTACCACATTTTCTCTATCCAGTCTACTATTGACGGGGATGTAAGTTGATTCCATGTCTTTTCCATTAAAAAGACATGGAATTAAAAATTGTAAAATCTCAATTTCATACATTCTCTCTCTGAGTATTAATAATAGTATTGTAGAAATGTTAATTTCCTAATCTGACAGTCATTTTATAATTGCATAAGATAATAGTCTTATTTGTAGGAAATAAAGTATTTGGAATATATGGAGCTTAATTTTGGCAATGTACTATCAAATGGTTGGGGAAAAATGAAGGGTTTTATTTGTACCTATTTCTAACTTATTCTTAGGTTTAAGGTTGTTTCAAAATAAATAGAAATTTAAAAACTGTATAAAATGTCATAAGCAGTGTCACGGCATTTCCATAGCTGAAGTCTTACATATAAAGAGTTCACAACCTAAAGTCACCAAAATCACAATGCAGCAAATTACTATGAATAAAGTTGAGATTGCTAGAGAAAAAAATATATAATTTGACAACTAACTCAAAATGAAGAAATATTTTGATGGTAGGGACTTTATGATACACTTTTAATTTAAGTCTGGATCCAATTCCCACAAATAATGCAATGCACACATATTAATATTTGAGAGAGAGTCCTATGCAGCCTTGAAACTGCCGTAAGGCATGGCCCTGATGACTTCTCCATCCTTCTCTTTAATACTGCCCTTGGACGCTCCCGCACATTAGCAAGTGATATATTTTACAAACAACACCCAAACACGTTTTATGACCTCTTTTGAAAGAGTTTTGAAAGTTCGGTAACTGATAAAACAGGGATTAGAGGAGAGGGCATTCCAGGTGAGGACATAGGACTGAGGAGAATAATGGCTACATTTGTTTAAAGTTGGGGCTTCCCAAGGCATTCAACAGGACAAGTACTTCGGGTAACTCTGCTGCCTCTTCTGGTGGAGTGGTGTAGTCGTGGAAAGAGTTTCAAGAAGTCTGAAAATCTCAAACTAGAAAAGTAGACATCAACAGGAAAATCTGCCCCATTTCAGCTCTCTGGGGAGCTGGAGCAGGTAAGACTCTACTTTGGGTTTAGGTGGGTCCAATCGCCATCAGGAGTTTTTGGCATAGATCCAGCCTTGCCCCTACCCAGCTCAACAGATCAGTGCTCTCAGTTCAGACCTACAGATGCCAGTCCTGGCCAAAGAGGGGTGAACAGGCCCCTTTCACTGCTAGGTCATGAAGTGGGAATGTTGGCCAGGCCATGAGTATAGCTTGCTTTGTAGCTTTTAAGTTTTTAGACGTTTCCTTTGGATATATACCCGATAGTGAGATATCTGGATCATACAGTAGTTCTAGTTTTCTTAGCATTATCAAAATACTGAATTATAGTTTTTCACCCTATTTCAAGAAACGTAACAAATCTTCTCTAATTGTTTTGAAGTGAACCATCTCCTTAGCCAAACAAAACTATAGATTACATGTTTTGTCTGTCTCATAGAAGGAGAGAGTAGAATGGTGGTTACCAGAGGCTTGGGTGGTTATGGGGAGGAAAGAAGGGGCAATGTTGGTCAAAGGATACATAATTACAGTTAGATAGGAAGAATATTTTTAAAATGAGTCCAGAATAGGCAAATATATAGAGGCAAAAAATAGATACATGAATGATGACTGGGGCTGGATGGGGTTGGGAGGAGTGGAGAAATGGAAAATGACTATTCATTTTTATTCAGCTTATTTTCTGTATATTCTAAAATTGATTGTGATGTTGTGATGACCACACAATTCTGTGAACATACTAAGAGCCACTGGACTGTACACTTTAAATAGGTGAATTCCATTATATGTGAATTAAATATCAATAAAGTTGTTTTTAAAATTAAAAATTAGAAAAATTAAATATGATGTTTAACCTCTTTTGGACTCTTGTCCCAGTCCTGAACAGTTAGGAGTGGTTCTGCTCATCTCAGCATTCATTCACTTTTCCTGCCCCAGCAACTTCAACTTGCCTGTTCCCTCATGCATCCAAGTTCTTTCCTGCTCCAGGGACTCTCATTTGCTGACCTCTGCCTGTAAAGCTCTTTCCCTGGCACTTTTGGCTCAGGTCTCCACACCATTCAGGTCTCTGCTTAATTTCCCCTTCGCAGAGTTTCTTACCAGTCATCCTATGTAAAATAGCACACCTGTCCTGTCCCCTTTGATCTCTTTTTGCTTACTCTACTTTCAGGGTCCAGAGCACTTAAAATGTTCTGAAACCTTAAGGATTTTGTTTTGTTTTGTTTTGTTTTTTGAGATAGGGTTTTGCTCTGTCACCAAGACTGGCGTGCAAGGGGCACAATCATACTTGAAGCCTTGAATTTTTTAAAAATCTGCTTCTTCTTTATAGTCTGTCTCCGTGTTAGAATGTAAATGCCCTAAAGACCTGAATTTTGTATTTTTTTATTCCTTGGCCCCAACACTTAAAATAGAGTACCACAGAGCAATAAATACCAGATAAATAAGTGAACGAGCTACAATGAGTGTGAAGTAATGCAATCTGACTTTTTAAAGAAAAAATAAAAGTTACAAATGATTTGAATATGAAATGATTTAATACTTGAATATTTCAGTTTGTAATAGCTGCAATAAGTTGTTATATAAGAGCTAAAATGTGTGTAAAATATTGAAAAGATTATGATTATATAATTAATTTTTTAACAGATTCAGATAAAAGTAAAAGCACAACTATATAGAACAGCCCATACAGCACTTTTTAGAACTTTTTTAAAAAGCAAGCTTAGAACTTCAAGGACGAGAAAGAGTTGATGAAGCTTTGTACTAACAAAACTAATTCTTTTTCTCTTCTTATTAAACTCATAACTGAGGTGTAATATAGTAAATCTATCACTTTTATCAGGTTATATAACTAGTCATAAGGTTATCCTCAGAGTTATTAACTGATCATTGTCAGATTTAATATGGTACAGTGACCTTGATGACCGAATAAAAACCTCAGTAAATTTTAACATTATCTGAGCCTAGTAAATAGGTGACTATAAGCACATGGTACAGTTATATTTAATATCTTAAAAACTTTTAAAAAGTGACAATAAGGCTAACCCAACAATATTGTGAATAGGTTGAATGATAAATAAAAATTATATTTTCTATGTATAGTAACAAAAAATGCATACCAAGAAATATTTTTTTATAAGTAAAGATATAACCTAGCTTCTAAGTAGCAGTCATTTGACCTTAGACAAATCATTTAGCTTTTCTGAGTTTAGCATGAAGAATTTTGGTGAAATAATCAGTAAATACAAAGAAAGTTATATATTGAAGTTCTGTGACTTCCTTAAAACCAGACAAAGTTTAGAGTTGATTGATGTTGTTAGTGAAGATAGTAGAGTGAACATAAAAGGGGGATATTACACTCGCTTAAATACTACTTTCATGAGGTTGAATTAGGAAAATTCATTATTTTCTTACAAGTACATGGGCCTAAATGGTATTTCACTCTTTATCAAGGCCATGATTTTCAAATACTGGCAAGAGAAGTTTTAAGAAGATTCATTTTTCATGGAAGAAAGATGTTCATAATTAGCTTATGTTAAAGTAGTTAGTTTTTAAGTATAACAGCACAGTTAATTAAATTGTAGTACAGTTGGCCCTCCGTATTCCTGTCTCTGAATTCAACCAATCATGGATCGCACAGAGTAGGGAAAAGTAACAAAAAGTAATACAAATAAAAACATTATAATATAACAACTATTTATATAGCATTTACATTGCATTAGAAATTATAAGTAATCTAGAGATGATTTAAGGTATATGAAAGTACCTGTTGCAGGTTATATGAAAACACTGTGCCATTTTATACAAGAGATTGGGCATCTGTGGACTTTGTTATTTGTGGAGATCCTAGAAACAATCCCCCATGGATACCAAGGGACAACTGTACTTAAATTATATCTTATAGTTTTCGCAGTAACCAGATGACCAGTAATGACTGTGGCAGGCAGAATTATAAAACCTTTCTTTCAAGATTCCCATTTTCTTGTTACTCAATCCACACTAATGTAGGTATTGCCAGAAAGGGACTTTGCAGATAAATGAAGTGATTAATCAACAGTCAAAAACAGGGAGAGCCTCCTGGATTATCCAGATGGGCCCAGTCTAATCACCTGAGCCTTAATAGCAGAGAAATTTCACAGGTGGAGTCAGAGAAATATGGCCGAAGAGAGAGGCAGAGAAGGGATGGGTGAAAAGGGGAGGACTCTACTGTCCCTAACTGACTTAAGATGGAAGAACGGAGCCATAAGTTAAGGAATATGGGCAGCTTCTAGCAGGTAGAAGTAACCCTTGACTGACAGCCAAAAAGCAAATGGGAAGTTCAGTCTTAAAGCTGCATGGAACTGAATTCTGCCAGCCACTCAAAAAAAGCCTAGAAGCAGAATCATCTCCAGAACCTCCAGAAAGAAACACAGTCCTGCAGAACACTTAATTTTGGTCTTGTGAAACCCAGCATAGAGAAACCAGTTGAGCTTACCACACTTTTGATGTATAAAACATGAGATAACAAATCTGCGTTATCAGCCACTAAATTTGTGGTAATCTGTTTTGCAGAAATAGCATACAATAGCAGAAATAAATACTGTACACTCAGTCATTATGTAGATTATAATTATGTTTAAATTATGTACTCTTAGAAGTGGAAAAAGATGAAATAATTCTTGGTGCAGAAGAACTTGACACCCTTTTCGTTTTTCTCTAAGGAAAAAACACTTTCCTTAGAGAGCATAATATACTAAGCTGCTTTATATACATACAAACCCATACATATACATTCATGAGTACAATCTATATGATATTAAACATAGTAACAGTAACACATACTTAAAAGAGAGAGAGAAAGAGAGAGAGAGCTATTGACTATACATCAGACAGTAAGCCGTAAGTAGCACTTGTTTTTATTCTACTCTAATGAGCAGGTTTTCAAACAACAGAAATTTGTAGCCATAATTTGCAGTTTGATGCCTGTCTGCCAAGGCACAACTTTTTAAAGCAGCAGGTGCTTTTTAATGCCTCCAAGCATTATTGTCTGACAAAAATGCTCTTGCACTGCATTACAGGATGCACTTTTGATGTAAACATTAGAGTTGTCAGAGAGTGGGCATCGACTGGTAATTGCTCATTTCTCATCTGATATTTTCTGTCTTGTTAAGAGACGAGATTTTAATTTCTGTAAGGTCAAATTGGTCTTGGTGCAAAACTGAATTATCCTACTAATCATAATGTTGCTGAAATGCCTTAATAATCAGTTTTGCCTCTCTAACCTTGAACAACTGAATTCTCATTTCATTAAATTTTTTCCTTCTTATTACTAAAAATATTTATTCTGTCTGTAACGGTAATCTAATTTACCAATTTAAATGCTTTGCATCAAAGTTATTTTTACACGTATCTTATCCTGACTGGTAAATTTAAATCCCTTCTGAGGTCAGGTTTTGTGTGTCATCTTTTTGTAGCCCCCAGCACACGTTCTTTCACCAAGTTGCCATTGAATGTAAAATAGTTTTTTGATTATGTATCTCAGTAACTCCTGAAAATTTCCATGGATTTTTCCACTAATTAGTTGGGTGGAATCATATCCACGTTATATTTCTCTCTCCAAGTAACCTTGGACATCCATGAAATAGATGAGCTATATTTTGATTTATTAAGAAAGTTAATTAAGACAAATAAACATTCTAACATTAAGCATGTGGACTGAGAATTCCTGGTTACTCCTACTCACTTGACCCATATGTAAAACATGAAGAAACTCACAATTTCAGAATTCTAGTAATTGGTTTCATTGAAGTTCCTAAACTCCACTAAATGTTCCCTTGTAAATTACATAGGAAACTACTACCTATTTCCATTTGAAGCACCCAGTCTCCCAGTACTTGTCCTATGAGTAGCTACTGTTACTGACTTTCAAAATCCATGGAACGTGCTGCTATCATGAGTTGCTTACCTAAGTTCCTTCAATTCATAGGCCTTAGACAACAAACTCATGATAACTTATTAGGAACTGTGAAGATGATTTTAACAGGTTTCACTGAAATCTTTTTTTCTTCCCTGCCTTTGGCCTCTCTTCCCTTTTAACTTCACTTTCACCTGTAGTAGGTGTTGTAATTGGTATGCATATTACAGAACAATTGAGATCACAAGCTTTAAGTCAGGCATGAGTTCTAATTCCAGCTCCACCCTCTTACTAGCTGTATGATCTTGTACTCTTTGCTCAGTCATGCTAAGATTGCTATTTTGTGCTTTTGTTTAAAAAAATACATTATTTTTATATCACTTTGACTTCAAATACTATAAAACATGTAAAGAAAAAAAAAAGTTAGAGAAAGGAAAAATCCAGTGGATGTTCCTAAGCCTGCTATTGCAGGAGCTACAGACAACTCCCATCTGTTGCTCTGTGCAGTTGCTTGGTGCTACCATGGCAAAGGACAAGCTCCTATGGTGGAATTCCATGAGGGAGTTCTATGTTATTGAATTTCATAACGTGAAGTCATGCAGCAAAAGATAAATGTCGAAACCCATATCATGATGTATATATTTTTATTTTTTCTATTTTATTTAGTTATCATATATAATTTTTTATTGTAACTGCTTTTTCTGGTAGTGATATGAGGGCTATCTTAGTTTATTCAGGATGCTATAGCAAAATACCTTAGACTGGGTAGTTTCTAAAACAGAAAATTATTTACCACAGCTCTGCAGGTTGAGAAGTTCAAGATCAAGGCAGGAGCAGATTCGGTGTTCTGGAAAGGGCCCATATTCTGATTCATAGATGGCATTTTCTTGCGGTGGACTCACATGATGCAAGGGGTGAACAAGTTTCCTGGGCATCTTTTATACAATCATTAATGCAATTTATGAGGGCCATACCCTCAATCTAATTACCTGCCAAAGGCCTCACTTCTTAACACCATCACCTTGGAGGGTAGCGTTTTAACATAGTAATTTTGGGGAAGCACAAAAATTTAGATAAGAGCAGATAGCAGTCATTGATTAATTCACTTATTCAACCATGAAACCCTGAGCGTGCATAGCCTGTTTCATTTCACTTCCTGGAATGCTATACTAGGCATGTTTTGTCAAAGGTAAGTCAGCACTTAGGGGAGAAAACAGACTATCAAATTACCATTGTACAATATGTGAAAGCATTTTCTGTTGCAATATGCAAAAAAGGCACATAAAAGTATTCGAGACTCAAAGGAGGGAAAGTATTCCTCCAAAAGAATCAAGGGTTACAATAACCAAGGAGATCACAAAAGAAATGTCTCTTACATTAACCCTGTCTCTGATACTGATACTTTTAGCATTCAGATATATCTGTTTTTTAGCAACAAGGTATCCCAATATTTTACACTGAAAATATTTGATGTTAGTCTCTTAGTGAAAACTCTAATATGAACTCTATAATAGATGCTTTAACATTGAAATTCACAACCACTGGTCCCTGTAACAGGAAGATTATTAAAGTAGCATGTATTGATCAAATTTAAAATGCCAGAAGGCCAACTTTATGCCTACACTATATGGATTTATCCCTAAATAGTAAGCCTTGACCGCAAGTTAATCCATTTGCGATTAGCTTATTTGAAAAATAATTTCTAAAAATTCTATTGGGGTAATATTTTTATATCATCCATCTTATGGATAATTTACTGAAACCTTACATATTAATTGAGCTCTACAGGCCCTTAGTCAAATATCCAAGTTAAAAAAATCCAGATTTAGAGTTTTTATTTATTTGTGCAGTATTCCTAAAGTCCATCATGTCTGTTGTTCCAATGTTCTTTGCTTCTGTAACATCTCATTCATACATAATATTGTATTTTCCAACCTCATAACTGTCTACAGGCTGATTTTGTGTAAGCTCCACCTAAATCCTTCAAGCCCAACACTGATGAGAATTTAGTATATTATTATAATTTTATTTCTTTGCTCTTCCTTTCCTAGCTAGGGTATTAACTATACTACAAGGGGGTGACTAATATTATCAAAAGCTGCTCCTAATACAACCTTGGTAATTACTTTCATTACCTAGCATGAAAGCATGTGGTTCACTCTTGATTCATTATTGTTTTAACTTGAATTCAACCTCATTTAATATGAAAACTTAAAAATTCAAAATAATCAGAGTCAATTTCAGATGAGCTCTTTAAGATACCAGAACAATTCAATATTGGAGCATTTTTTTTTTTTTTTTGAGTGGAGTTTTGCTCTTTTTGCCCAGGCTGGAGTGCAACCTCTGCCTCCCGAGTTCAAGTCATTCTCCTGCCTCAGCCTCCCAAGTAGCTGGGATTACAGATGTGTACCACCACAGATGGCTAATTTTGTATTTTTAGTAGAGACGAGGTTTCACCATGTTGGCCAGGCTGGTCTCGAATTCCTGACCTCAGCTGATCCGCCTGCCTCGGCCTCCCAAAATGCTGGGATTACAGGTGTGAGCCACTCTGCCCGGCCTTAGAGTAATTTTTTTTATGGTGGGTGTATTAGTCCATTTTCATGTTGCTATAAAGAACTGCCTGAGACTGGGTAATTTATAAAGGAAAGAGGTTTAATTGACTCAGTTCAGAATGGCTGGTGAGGCCTCAGGAAACTTACAATCATAGTGGAAGACGAAGGGTAAGCAAGACACCTTCTTCACAAGGCAACAGGAAGGAGAAGTGCTGAGTGAAGGGGGAAGAGCCCTTTATATATAAAACCATCAGATCTTGTGGGAACTCACTCACTATCATGAGAACAGCATGGGGGAAACCGCCCTCATGATCCAATTACCTCTATCTTGTCTCTCCCTTGACATGTGGGAATTATGGGGATTATAATTCAAGGTGAGATTTGGGTGGGGACACAAAGCCTAATCATATCAGTGGGTAAGCCAAAATAATTTGTGCATTTGAAAGCTTGTTGGAAAAAGTGCCAAATAGCACTGACCAAATTCTTATAAAAAAGTAAGAAGTTATTAAATCACTTGTTAATAGTTAAACATAGGATCTATCTTCCATTTCTGTTTATTTCTGCTACAGAATCACGTTCTCTGATAAATGTTGTTTCTCTTTCTCTAATAACTACAACTATTCACTGCTCACTTATCAGCTACCAGCTGCCACTCCACAGTAGGGCACCTCAGCAGCCCTCTTTATATGAGGTGCCTATGCAGAGCTGATGGTACCAAGAAAGGACACTCAACAGCGGTGGGGCTACTAAGATTATCTCCTGAGATAGGGAATTGAACAGAGAGAAAGCCAGTCTCTTAAATGAATGCAGTGTATTCCAGACATAAAAACTAAGGAATGAGAAGGGCTTGGGGTGGGTGTGGGGATGGGTTAGGTATGCAGAGAACTACAGAGGCAGTAGACCATGTGAGTCTAGAGAGTAGGAAATAGGAAGAAATTCTAGTAGGAGAAACCGTGGAATATTAAGTAAAGTATTCTATCCCACCAAAATACAGTTGACATTTCAAATTTTGTTATTATGTATTCTAGTTTTTTCCTTCTCAAATTTAGAATTTCAGTGTATAAGCCATGTAAAGATCCACTTTAAAAATTATTATGAAATATGAACTAAAGCTTGCCATACGCTTTCTGAATATGTCTCATTACCTCAGGTAATATATAGGAAACTGTGAGTTCAAATGCATAATAGGAGGGACAACTTATTACCTTCAAGCATATATTTTGAAGACAATATGCATTCAATTTTAAAAGTCTTTTAAGTTTATTTAGATAAGAAAATTAGAAGCTATATTTTCAGAAATCCAATATTGTGAAAAGTGGTTTTAAACATTCTGTATTTAGGGAATAAATTTATTTTTGATAAAATGTTATGAGACACTCAAGTGTGCATATTACCAAATTTTAGCAGATTTTACAGCACTAATACGTTGTCACAGACTGGTTTACTCTTTGTAGAATCTTCATCAGAATGAAAGTTTTTCTTTCTGTCTCTGGAATTAAGCTTGGAATTGTGTAAATGTGTCATTTTTTTCTTTGCCTTAATGTACTGCAAATTTACTCATAAAATTGTACTAGCAGATATAGTGCCATAGGTCACACACCTCATCTACAATTAAATATGCAAGAGTCAAGATCAATCATTACATTTCCCTCATCACATGAGAGTCAAGTGTGCATGAATAACTGAATAGGTAACAGGTAGAATAATGATACTATATATAATTTTTAAATAAATTAATTTTGCTCATTTCTTCTATTGCTGTGAAGATTCCAAAAGTATATAATTCTTATGTAAATTGTGGTTTATTCCTTTCTGTATTTTCCTATTTTGAAAAGAAATTTTAAAAATCATTATGCATTACTCGTGATTCAGTTTGTAACTGTATTTCCTCTACTTTCATTCAGTCTTCTGAATGGGAGTTTTAGTTTTCATTAACTGAAATTTTAAAAGTACTTAAAGCGACACTATGACTTTTTGAAACGTACTATTTCCAAAAACTTAAATGAGTTAGAATTTTTGGAAACTGTAAAATAATATAAACTGGATAACTATAAGGATAGGAGTGTGATTGTCATTTATAATTTGTAATTTTAGATTGTTTTAACCTTCAAAACAACATTTGCTCTCACTGATTCACGGTAAGAGTTTTTGTAGAGTTACAGAAAACAATAACAAATCCATTAATTGGCCTTCTATTTTGAGATAAAAATAAAATGATCTAAAACATTGCAATAAATAAAAACATAATCATGATAAGATCAAGAATACAGATGTTAGAAAACTCCTAGAAATGAGATGTTCCAATAAAATTTTGACTGTGCAGGAGGAGGAGAAAATAATAAATAGAATAAATTGCAGACTAATGTGCTTTCAGATGTGGGTATGAACCAGAAGGAGTTGTATTTTCTCCTGAACTCCCGAAGGCTTAAAACTCAGCAATGTAAGGAATGTTGGATAGCAGAAGAGTCATGACTGGGGGTTGAGAATCAGAATTATTTAAATGTCTAATTATTAGAAGAATGATTTTCCATGCCCTGACAGCTTTATGGCATCTTTCTACCAGACAAGAGATTAGAAGTTTCCAGAAAGGTTTAATTTAATGATAATGGCAAAATTATCATGTTATCCATGTTGGGCATAAACTGTACTCCAGTCTCTGCACAATTTCCTTAAATACAAAACCCACAGGTTAATATAACTCTCCCCTCTGACAATTAACATTCATAAGAAGACTAGTGAAAATTAAAATTATGATGTAAGAAATTAATTTTAAGATGCAGTAAAAGAGAAGGAAGATAAATGCAATGAAATTTCTTAGAAAGTGAGTTAAATAGAGAGAAAATACAAAGAGTGAAGTTAGGAGTTTCTTTATCTGACAAATAGAAATTCCAGAAATTCTATTGACTATCCCAATTTCAGGCCTCTGGACTTTCACTGAACCATACCACTGACCTTCCTGGATCTCCAACTTCCAGATGGCATATTGTGGAATTCCTCAGTCTCCATAATCATGTAAGCTGATTCCTGATAATAAATTTCTCTCTCTCACTCTCTCTCTCTGTTTCTTCATATATACAGACCTAATATAAACACACACACACACACACGTATATGTGTGTGTGCGTATATATATATTTACAGATCTAGCATATATATATACATATCTGTATACATGCTCTCTATATTTATACAAATATTTATATATTTATTTAAAAGTCTATATATTTAGGTATGCATATTTAGCATATATATCTATGTGTATGTATAGATACATATAGCATGATCTAAAACATTTCAACAAATAAAAATATAATAATCATGAGATCAAGAAAAGAGGTGTTAGAAAACTACTAGAAATGAGACCTTCCAATAAAATTTTTATTGTACAGGAGTCAAAATAGCAAATAGATAAACATGCTAGATATGCTATATACATATATATCACTAGATAAACATATATTCAAGAGATATACATATCTCTAGCTATATATGTGTTTGTTTTAATGTTTAAAAAAGTTTTAATTAATGACAACAATTCCATGAAAAAAGAGGATAAAGAATGGGATTACAAGAAGTATTTGGTCTTAATAAGGCAATGCAAAATAGATTCATTATCAAAGACCATTTAATTTTTAAAGATCAACAAACCAAAACCATAAAGTGGAATATAGAAAAATAGCTTTTCATAAGTATGATTTAATTAAAGCTCTTTACAGTTATTCTCTCCCACAGTAGTGAAGCACGAATTTAAAAAAAAGACGAGAAACACAGGCACACGCAATACACAGAGTTAGCGTAGATGGCATGCAAAGTCTGTGCAACTTGAAGTTTCACTGCAACAGGAATGAGACCAGACGTGGGTGACCTTTCTTTGTTTTGTTTTTCTATTAGGAACAAAGGGGAAGAAAAAAAAACTGCAAAGGAAACAAACACAAATTCCTGTAATTGCCCATTGCCCAAGGTGACAGCACTATAGAAAAAAGTTCTAATTTAATTCTCAGAGATGACCAGAGATTTTTCAGTGTTTACACAAAAGTGCATGGTACTTTTTTTTATAAAATAAAATAAATATAATTTGCCACCATAAACCTTTTTTCTTTTTAGAGTAGAATAATTTTTACTACAGGACACAAAAATTAAGAAATGTATAAGATGAAAAAGATATAGTAAGATAAGGTTAATATATTATTGAAGATATCAATGGCTGTTATATATGGATGTTAAGATAACAATTCAGATTATTTTTCAAACTAATCCTGAGGGAAAAATCTGTTTACAATTTAAATATTAATGTCATGTAGAAAGTATTATTAACAAATCCACTATCACAAATATCAATTTCCTATGTGGTCTTCTATATATATAGACAATAAAATAGTAAATACATGCAAAACAAATACACGTGCAAAACATGTCCAAAGTCCTTTGGAAACTGGACTTCCTATCAGATATTTGTTTTCCTTCCCCACCCCATCTTCTGATATTGTTTTGTGTTTTTATCACCCTACCAACACTGAACACTATTCCTTTTAACTCTGCATGAAGTCAATGAGAAATGTATTTATTGTACATTCAAGATATATAATATATACATTCTATATGTATATATGCTAGAAATATATGCTATATATATATATTTATGCTAGGGGTGTGTGTGTGTATGTGTATGGAGAGAGAAGGAGAAAGTGAGTCATGCACTGTAAAACAATGTTTCAATCAACGACAGACTGCATACATGATGGTGGTCCCAAAAGATTATATGAAGCTTAAAAATTCCTACTGTCTAGTGATATTGTAGCCATTATAATATCATAGCTCCATGTATTAGTCACATGTTGGGTGATGCTGGTGTAAACAAACCTACTGTGCTGCCAGTCATATAAAAGCATAGCATGTACAGTTATGTACAGTGTATAATACTTGATAATAAAAGACTATATTATTGGTTTATGTATTTACTGTACTGTATTTTTATCTCTAGTTTAGACTACACTCCTACTTCAAAAAAAGCCCCAGGCACTTTCTTCAAAAGGCATTCCAGAAGGCGTTATTATCATAGGAGATGATAGCTACATGTGTGTTATTGTCTCTGAAGATCTTCTAGTGGGACAAGATGTGGAGGTGGAAGACAGTAATATTGATGATCCTGACCCTGTGTTGGCCTAGACTACTGTGTGTGTTTTTAGCAAAAAAGTAAAAATATATATATATTAAAAATAGTAAAGAGCTCATAGAATAAGACTGTAAAGAAATAAGATATTTTTGTACAGCTTTACATTGTTTTTGTGTCTGAAGTGTTGTTATAAAAGGAGTCACAAAATTTAAAAAATTAAAATATGTATTAGATGAAAAAGATATAGTAAGATATGGTTAATATATTATTGAAGAAAAAGTATTAATAAATTTAGTGTAGCCTGTGTGGACAGTGTTTTTAAAGTCTACAGTGGTTATATAATAATGTCCTAGGCCTTCACATTCACTCATTGCTCATGGCACATCCAGGAAACTTCCAGTCTTGCAAGCTCCATTCATGGTAAGGGTCCTAAATTGGTGCACCATTTTTAAAATCTTTATACTGTACTTTTACTGTATATTTTCTATGTTTAGACACACAGATAGTTAACATTGTGTTACATTTGCCTACAGTATTCACTGCAGTGATGTGCTGTACAAGATTGTAGCATAGGAGCAATAGGCTATACCCTGTAGAATAGGAGTGTAGGCTATACTACCTAGGTTTGTGTTCACAAAACAGTGAAATTGCTTAATGACCCATTTCTCAGAGTGTATGCCCTACATTAAGTGATACATGACTGTATCAACTCCATTAAGAACAAAATGCACCCCTTACCTAATGAAAGATGTCTAATATAGCTTACCTGTCACCAAGTAACTGGTCTATCACCATGGGGAATATCAACATACTGGGGACTCAGTGTTGGGTTTTGCTGCTTCTGGCAAGTTGGGAACAAAAGGAAAGCCTTGGTAAGTGGAAGTCCGTTTGACTGGGCCCATGCATGACAAAGATCCTTGCCATCATAGTCACTTTGTGAGTCCAATAGGCAATGACAAAAGTGTCTAGTGAAAGAGTTTGACTGCTATGCACAAAATGGGTCATTCATTCTATCACTTTCATTTAAAAAAACTCCCCTCTGGTGAGATTCTTCTTCTTCTTTTTTATTATACTTTAAGTTCTAGGGTACACATACACAACGTGCAGATTTGTTACATATGTATACATGTGCCATGTTGGTGTGCTGCACCCATTAACTGTCATTTACATTAGGTATATCTCCTGATCCTATCCCTCCCCCTTCCCCTCATCCCATAACAGGCCCCAGTGTGTGGACATACTTCCTGTGTCCAAGTGTTCTCATTGTTCAATTCCCACCTATGAGTGAGAACATGCGGGGTTTGGTTTTTTCTCCTTGCTATGCTTTGCTGAGAATGACGGTTTCCAGCTTCATCCATGTCCCTAAAAGGACATGAACTCATCATTTTTTATGGCTGTATAGTATTCCATGGTGTATATGTGCCACATTTTCTTAATCCAGTCTATCATTGTTGGACATTTGGGTTGGTTCCAAGTCTTTGCTATTGTGAATAATGCCGCAATAAACATACGTGTGCATGTGTCTTTATAGCAGCATGATTTATAATCCTTTGGGTATATACCCAGTAATGGAATGGCTGGGTCAAATGATATTTCTAGTTCTAGATCCTTGAGGAATCACCACACTGTCTTCCACAATGGTTGAACTAGTTTACAGTCCCACCAACAGTGTAAAAGTGTTTCTATTTCTCCACATCCTCTCCAGCACCTGTTGTTTCCTGACTTTTTAATGATTGCCATTCTAACTGGTGTGAGATGGTATCTCATTGTGGTTTTGATTTGCATTTCTCTGATGGCCAGTGATGATGAGCATTTTTTCATGTGTCTGTTGGCTGCATAAATGTCTTCTTTTGAGAAGTACCTGTTCATATCCTTCGCCCACTTTTTGATGGGGTTGTTTATTTTTTTCTTGTAAATTTGTTTGAGTTCCTTGTAGATTCTGGATATTAGCCCTTTATCAGATGAATAGATTGAAAAAATTTTCTCCCATTCTGTAGGTTGCCTGTTCACTCTGATGGTAGTTTCTTTTGCTGTGCAGAAGCTCTTTAGATTAATTAGATCCCATTTGTCAATTTTGGCTTTTGTCGCCATTGCTTTTGGTATTTTAGACATGAATTCCTTGCCCATGCCTATGTCCTGAATAGTATTGCCTAGGTTTTCTTCTAGGGTTTTTATGGTTTGAGGTCTAACATTTAAGTCTTTAATCCATCTTGAATCTAGCAGCACATGGAAAAGCTTATCCACCATGATCAAGAGGGTGTCATCCCTAGGATGCAAGGCTGGTTCAACATATGCAAATCAATAAATATAATCCAGCATATAAACAGAACCAGAGACAAAAACCACATGATTATCTCAATAGATGCAGAAAAGGCCTTTGACAAAATTCAACAGCCCTTCATGCTAAAAACTCTTAATAAATTAAGTATTGATGGGACGTATCTCAAAATAATAAGAGCTGTTTATGACAAACCCACTGCCAATATCATACTGAATGGGCAAAAACTGGAAGCATTCCCTTTGAAAACTGGCACAAGACACTGATGCCCTCTCTCACCACTCCTATTCTGTTGTGGGAAGTCAGGGACTGCAAACAGAGAGACCGGCTGAAGCCATGGCAGAAGAACATGGATTGTGAAGATTTCATGGACATTTATTTGTTCCCCAGATTAATACTTTTATAATTTCTTATGCCTGCCTTTACTGCAATCTCTAAACATAAATTGTGAAGATTTCATGGACATTTATTACTTCCCCAATCAATACCCTTGTGATTTCCTAGGCATGTCTTTACTTTAATCTCATAATCCTGTCAGCTGAGGAGGATGTATGTCACCTCAGAACCCTCTGACAATTGTGTTAACTGCACAAATTGTAGAGCATGTTTGTTTGAACAATATGAAATCTGGGCACCTTGAAAAAAGAACAGAATGACAGCAATTGTTCAGGGAATAAGAGAGGTAACCTTAAACTCTGACCGCCAGTGAACCAGGCGGAACAGAGCCATATTTCTCTTCTTTCAAAAGCAAATGGGAGAAATATGGCTGAATTCTTTTTCTCAGCAAGGAACATCCCGGAGAAAGAGAATACGCCCCTAAGGGTGGGTCTCTAAAATGGCCCCTTTCGGTGTGGCCATCTTCTATGGTTGAAACTCTAGGGATGAAATAAACCCCAGTCTCCCATAGCACTCCCAGGCTTATTAGGAAGAGGATATTCCCACCTAATAAATTTTGGTCTGACTGGTTGCTCTCAAACCCTGTCTCCTGATAAGATGTTATCAATGACAACGGTGCCTGAAACTTCATTAGCAATTTTAATTTCACCCCGGTCCTGTGGTCCTATGATCTCTCCCTGCCTCCATTTGCCTTCTGATATTCTATTACCTTATGAAGTATGTGATCTTTGTGACCCACACGCTATTCATACACTCCCTCCCCTTTTGAAAGTCCCTAATAAAAACTTGCTGGTTTTGCAGCTTGTGGGGCATCACAGAACCTACCGACATGTGATGTCTCCCCCGGATGCCCAGCTTTAAAATTTCTCTCTTTTGTACTCTGTCCCTTTATTTCTCAAACTGGCAGACACTTAGGGAAAATAGAAAAGAACCTATGTGACTATCAGGGCAGGTTCCCTGATACTATTCAACATAGTGTTGGAAGTTCTGGCCAGGGCATTCAGGCAGGAGAAAGAAATAAAGGGTATTCAATTAGGAAAAGAGGAAGTCAAATTGTCCCTGTTTGCAGATGACATGATTGTATAACTAGAAAACCCCATCGTCTCAGCCCAAAATCTCCTTAAGCTGATAAGCAACTTCAGCAAACTCTCAGGATACAAAATCAATGTGCAAAAATCACAAGCATTCTTATACACCAATAACAGAGAGCCAAATCATGAGTGAACTCCCATTCACAATTGCTTCAAAGGAATAAAGTATCTAGGATTCCAACTTACAAGGGATGGGAAGGACCTCTTGAAGCAGAACTAGAAACCACTGCTCAATGAAATAAAAGAGGACACAAACAAATAGAAGAACATTCCATGCTCATGGATAGGAAGAATCAATATGGTGAAAATGGTCATACTGCTCAAGGTAATTTATAGATTCAATGCCATCCCCAACAAGCTACCAATGATTTTCTTCACAGAATTGGAAAAAAATGACTTTAAAGTTCTTATGGAACCAAAAAAGAGCCTGCATTGCCAAGGCAATCCTAAGCCAAAAGAATAAACCTGGAGGCATCATGCTACCTGACTTCAAACTATACTTCAAGGCTACAGTAACCAAAACAGTATGGTACTGGTACCAAAACAGAGATATAGACCAATGGAACAGAACAGAGCCCTCAGAAATAATACCACACATCTATAACCATCTGATCTTTGACAAACCTGACAAAAACAAGAAATGAGGAAAGGATTCCCTATTTAATAAATGGTGCTGGGAAAATTGGCTAGCCATATGTAGAAAGCTGAAACTGGATCCCTTCCTTACACCTTATACAAAAATTAATTCAAGATGGTGAGGTTATTATTTTGTGAATATTCACATCAGACAAAAATATCTTTAGTTTTTCCCCTTCCAGAAAGGTTATCCTCATACTTTTTCATAAATTTTCTTATCACCAATTTCCCAATTATGTTTCTTTCAAGTCCCTGGCCATCCACCCAAATTATTGGCCATAGCTTATGAATCAGAGTCTAATTGCATGTCTGGCCATTTCTATTTCTAGGCAAAGTGAACAACCAGGTGCAATGTTTGAGTTTCTGATTACTGAGAGGATTTTTATTTACCACTGTCCTTCAGGAATATCCCAGAAAGGGCTTTTGTGCTGCAGCTGTCTACCTTGTGGTGCCTGTATATCATGCAGAACCATCTGTTCAGCAAGCCCAAATCTTCTCTGCCTCTGTTGACTAATTGATTTCCCCTGAAGTCTTCAGATGAAACCAGCCCTACAGCATTTTGATTTTATTCTGATAAGGCTGACTTTGGATTTCTAACCTCTAGAAATATGAGCATACATTTGTGTGTGAACTCTTGAGAAACTCCCCAAGAGGCCATAGGTGCAGGCTAAGGGGGAGGGCAATATAGGAGGAATGAAGACCATGGGCATTTGGACCACATGATGTAACTTACTTGTACTTTCAGGGCCTGCTTGAGCCCAGGTCATGTATATACCACTTTTGTTTGATGATGGCATGCTTCTGTACATGTTTAACTAAGTGGTTTGTCAGATAATACCCAGTTAATGATGGGTAGTAACTTGATGACCCATGGTTAAGTATTCATGCTCTATTAAGGCCAAAGAGGACACAAAAAGCAGCTTCTCAATAGTATAGTAATCTGAAGAAGACAGCAGGGTATTAATCCAAAATCCTAGGGGTCTTCACTTCTACTCATATGTGAAAGCTACCAAAGGCCCCAAGTAGCACCTCTATATGCCACTGACGCTTCAAGTACTGTTGGATGTGCTGGGTCATATAGCCCAAACAGCACAGCAGTTTGCACAGGAGTCTGGACCTGTGGCAGAGCCTTTTCATCTTCTGTACCCGACTCAAAACTAGCAGCTTGTTGGGTCACTTGGTAAATGGGCCAGAGAAACATAGCTAAATACGAATTATATTACCTCCAAAATCCAAAGAGACCTTCTAGGCATTGTTCCTCTTTTTTGGTTGTAGCAGGGGCCAGATGCAATAACTTATTTTTTACCTTAGAAGAGATATCACAACATGCCCCACATCACTGGGCCCATAGAAATTTAATTAGGTAGACTGTTCCTGAATTTTACTCACATATATTTCTTACTTTTTGACATACAATTGTCCTAGAGTAGTCAGTACTTTTTATTCACTGTATCCAATCAGCATAATGTCATCAGTTTAATATACCAGTGTGAGTTCTTGTGGAAGGAAAGGCAATAAAAATCCTTGCAAACTAAGTGACAACATAAGGCTGGAGAATTGATACACCCCTGAGGTGGAACAGTGAAGGTATGTTGCTGCCCTTGCCAGCTGAAAGCAAGCTGCCTCTGCTGGGCATTATTGACAGTGATAGAGAAAAAGGAATTTGCCAGATTAATAGCTGTATTCGAGGTAACATGGGATGTGTTAATTTGCTCAAGAAATGAAACTACATCTGGCACAGTGACTGCAATTGTAGCCACCTTCTGCATGCACTCACAACAATCCACTGTTATTTCCAAAGATCTCTCTGTCTTCTGTGAAGGCTAAATAAGCAAACTGAACGGGGATATAGTGGGAATCACCACTCCTGCATCCTTCAAACTTCTCATGGTAGCACACTAATCTTTTTAATCCCTCCAAAATGTATTATTGCGTTTGATTTACTATTTCCCTAGCAAGAGGCAGTTCTAGTGGCTTTCACTTCATTTTCACCATAATACCCTCACTCCACCAGTCAGGGAACCAATGTAAGAATTTTGCAAGCTGCTGTGTATATCTATTCTGATTATACATTATAGAACTGGAGAAACAACCGTCAGATGGTTTCACGAACCCACTGGACACCTGTGCAATTGACCTGAGCTAAAACTCCATTGATAATGTGACATTCATAAGCCCCTGTCTTGACTGGTGGGCCACAAATGGCTCCTAGAATCTCCTAAAATCAATGTCAATTTAGAGTCAATATCCAGCAATCCTTCAAAGATTGATTTTTCCTTTTCCCCAGTACATAGCTACCCTGATAAAAAAAAGCCATAGGTCTTTTGGGAAAGGCTGGGAGAAAGGTTAACAGTAAAGATTTTTAGTAGTGTACTCTGGTCCTTTCTCAAGGTGACCCAACTTTCCCTCATTTAAAGGTTCTGCTTTGGTGGCAACTACCAGTGCTAGTGCTGTGGCCACAAACTTAAGAATGCTGATAAATTCTAGAAACTGCAATAGGGAAGCCACACATTTCCCCCTGAAGTCTTCAGAAGAAACCAGCCCTGCAACACTTCGATTTCATTCCCATAAGACTGAGTTTTTATTTCTGATCTCTAGAAATATAAGAGAATACATTTGTGTGTGAAGCCACCTATTTTATAGTAATCTGTTTTTGTGGCAATAGAGTAATAATATAGAGCATAAGGAAACTATTACAAGTGATGAAAATTATCTGTATCATTATTGTGGTGGTGGAAATATGACTGTATAAGCATATCAAACTTCATTGAACTATTGACTTTTATATGTAAATAATACAGTCATTTTAAAAATCATGTTTTAAGTTCATTCCATTCCTATTGTTTCACCTAAATTTACTGATCACACCCTAAATTTCCTATCTTTATTTCCTTTTACTAATAGTTTAGCATTCTTCCAAATGCAAATGAATCCACAAAGTTTGCCAAGATGACCATAGCTTCTCTGAAGCTTTAGTAGCACTCAGATTGTATCTCTCACATAGTTCCTACCATTTCTGACTGCAGTATAGAGACTTGTAATATTTCATTTTCCCTGGTAGACTGCAGGCTTCTTGAGACCTACCATCATGAAGTTTGGCATTCTGAATACAATCCAGAATAGATCTTTTCCAAATAATCTATATTCCATAAAATTGTGCTTATAAAACACATTAATTCATTTATGTCTTTATTTAATTAGCAAACATGCCTGAGTCACTACTATACGCCTGGTTCTGTACTGGATACTAGGTATTAACATGTCTTTTCCGGTTATCACAAAGTTCTTTTTTTTTTTTCCTCTCTCCTCTATCGGTAGAGATTCAGCACATTTATTGTGCTAAGAGTTCCTATTTGTCCATAAAAGAGAGCAAGATAAACACAGTACCGACATCTCCTAAGGTGATTAAATAGCACTCAAACAGCCTTGTGTATCTGGGCTCCATTTGCTCTCTTAGGTATAGAGATCCACACAGTTTGGATGACTTGTGATGTCAGTGTGTTACTGCCTACAGCCTTGATACCTGCTTTGTTAAACAGCGTGATGAGCCAGCCATTCAGTTTCTTCCTCTCAACTCTAAAGGCTCTACTTTATGCTTCCAATTATGTAATAGATTCTGCTGTAGTGGCGACTGCTGATACATATTTTACCATGTATATCCAGGCTTTGTGTCACGCAATCACATTAAATAACAATCTAGCAGTTCTGCAAAAGATAGGCAAATAATCTGGTCTGGATGAAAAGACTTTATATTGTATATTAAATTTTAAACTGTGGGCTAGTTAAGTTTCTAGGAGAAAGAAGATGCTCTCAGTGTACACTAATGGGATCGCATTTTGATGCTGTTATGTACAATTTTCACCTCACAGAATTCCTATGAACCAATTTTATCTTTAAATAGTTTTGAACTAAACCATTGTGTTCACTGGTCTCATAAAAGTTTGGTATCTGATTCATCTACTACTTCTCTTACGTTTACAGAAATGGTACTAAAAAATGGAAAGCAGTGTTTCATGTTTTCATTCTATTACAGAGAAACCTTTAAGATGTCACCTATATAAAGCTGTAAATGGTACTAATTTCTCTTCTCGCAGATTAAGAGAGATGTAGCTTTTTTAAAAAAAACATTTCCTCAATTCCTGAAGGATTTTAGCTGAGCCCCTTTGACAAAGATTGGCTTTTATCTTTTTAGCTTTCTATCAATGTTTCTAAAGTTTCTTAACTCTGGAAAAATACTAGTCATTTCTATTGTGATGCTGTTTTTTTAAAATTATGTTTCAAACTAATATCTGTCTGAAGAGAAGTTTTTACTCACAATATTTTATTAAGATATTTTTCAAAAATAATGCCAATTTAAGAGATTTTACAATGAATACCTGTGTATTATTAACTTTACTAAGCTTGTTATTTTGTTGTTTTTGTGTTTTCATACCTATCAATTCCTTTGTGTATCTGTGAATCCACCTGATTTTGAACACATTTCAAGTACATTGCAGACACTAACATATTTTTATCTAATTACTTTAGAACACATATCACTACTATATTTCAATATTTAGATATACAATTTACATACAAGGAAATGCATGGATTTTAAGTGTACATTTGCACCTCTCTTAGTCCCTCTTTCCACCAACTCTGATATTTTTCTACCTTTTTATTTCTTTATTTTAGAGATGGGGTCTTGCTCTGTTGCCCAGGCTGGAGTGCAGTGGTGCAATAACAGCTCACTGCAGCTGCAAACTCCCGGGCTTAAGCAATCCTCCCACTTCAGCCTCCTGAGTAGCTACAATTACAGGTACATTTCACCATGGCCAGCTAATTTTTAAATTTTTTTTAGAGATAGGGTCTCACCATGTTGCCCAGGCTTGTCTTTAACTCTAGTCCTTTAATGATCCTCCTGCCTCAGCCTCCCAAATGCTGGAATTATAGGCATGAGCCACTATGCCTGGCCAATGTAAATGGATGCTCAGAAAACCTATTTTCACTCAGCCCATTTGGAATAGTTGAACATTTTGCTCATATCATAACATTTTTACTCTATATTTAGTTGCTACTTGCCTATATTTTTGGGCCAAGAAATTTAGTGAACTTTGATAACAAAAACTGCAAAAATAAAAGAATGATCTGGAATGGTGGAGCAAAGACATTTGAAATCTGCTTTTTCATAAAAACAATAAGAACACTAACAAAAACTGTCAAAATTAACATTTTTAGAACACTGAAAATTGCTATATGTTTGAAACCATCTGAAAGATATGTATTTAAAGAAACAAAGACAGCCGAATCTCAGTAAAAAGAGTGAGTGTTATATATTTTAACTTTCCCTAATCCCATTCTGCTCTCTCCAGCTCGTCAGTGGCTTTGAAAGCCAATACCCTCACAACTATGGTAGCTATGAAAACCAACATTATAGTAGCTACTGGAGGATGAATAAAAGATTTGAAGCTCCACAAAAGCCTAACCCCCAAGGAATTGTCACTATTTGACCTGACTGGTAGATTGCTGAAAAGCTCTATTATTTGAGCTGACTCTAAGAGCTCACTCTGTGGAAATAGATCTATCCTCAAGGAATCTGTGGCAAACAACCAGGGACAATTGTTTAACACTGATGCTGCCTGAGATGGCATTACCAGTTGATGCTAATGTACTCCAACACACACACATGGAACTCCTAGGCAAAGACTGGGAGATTTATTGGCTAATGGCATTTAATAAAATCTCTGTTTAATTACTAGCCAAATAACAAAACTAACCAAGCAGAGATTTCAGTGGCCTCAAATGACATAGGATACGGACTTCACAGAAGTAGTGCAGGAAAGTCACTAAAGAAGTAAACAGAATGGACAACAACAAGAAGCAGCAAAGCCCAACATATCTTGGGTGGTAGTGGTGTTTGATTTTCCAAGTTGCCACATTAAATTATTTAAAAAATTAAAAATCAAAATTTTTCTTTTGCTGTGTTTGTAAATTAAGATGCCAATTGTAATTCCTATAGCAGATATCAATAATATGATGTTAAAATATTCAGTAAAAAAAAAAAGAACTATACTAGAAAATATCTATTCAACACAAAAGAGGCAGTAATAAAAAGAGGAGCAAGGCCTGGTGTGGCGGGCGCGGAGGCTCACGCCTGTAATCCCAGCACTTTGGGAGGCCGAGGCGGGCAGATCACGAGGTCAGGAGATCGAGACCATCCTGGCTAACACGGTGAAACCCCGTCTCTACTAAAAATACAAAAAAATTAATTGGGCGTGGTGGCGGGCACCTGTAGTCCCAGCTACTCGGGAGGCCGAGGCAGGAGAATGGAGTGAACCCGGGACGTGGAGCTTGCAGTGAGCCGAGATCGTACCACTGCACTCCAGCCTAGGCGACAGAGCGAGACTTCATCAAAAAAAAAAAAAAAAAAGAGGAGCAGAATACATAAAACATATACAGTAAACAGCAACTGGCCGACTTAAATCTTACCTTATCAGTAACTCAGTAACTACATTCTGTAAATGGACTGACCACTCCTTTTTTTTTTTTTTTCTTTTGTGAGACAGAGTCTCACTCTGTTGCCCAGGCTGGAGTGCAACGGTGTGGTCTCAGCTCACTGCAACCTCCACCTCCCAGGTTCAAGAGATTCTCCTGCCTCTGCCTCCCAAGTAGCTGGGATTACAGGCGTGCACCATCATACCTGGCTAATTTTTGTATTTTTAGTAGAGACGGGATTTCACCATGTTGGCCAGGCTGGTCTCGAACTCCAGACCTTAGGTGATCCGCCTGCCTCGGCCTCTCAAAGTGCTGGAATTATAGGTGTGAGCCACCATACTCAGCCTCCAATTCTAAGGTATGGATGACCGAGTCAATTTAAAAAGCAGCCCAATATATTACTATTATTACAAAAGATAGAATTGAAATTCAATGACACAATCAATTGAATGAAAGAGATGTAAAAAGATATACCATGTAAACAGTGCTCAAAACAGAGCTGGAGTGGCTATAGTATAATCATGCAAAATAGACTTAAAATGTCTTCTAGACACAAGAAGGATATTTTGAAGTAAAAAGGGATCAATTCATCCTGAAGGTGTAAAAATTATAACCACATATGTACAAAATAATGGTCCTCAAAAATGTAAAATAAAAGTGACAGAGTTGAATGTAGAAATAGATACTTCAATAATTGTTGGAGAGCAGTCTTTATATAGATAGCGAAAAGTCTCTTCCAGCTTCTGTTGATCTCTAAGGGCCTTTAATTTAAAATGCTCATTTTACCAGGGACTCATGTTTTAAGGTGAAGTTCTCCGTACTCCAAAGTGCAAGTTTTATACCCTGAAAAAAATGACAAAACATCATTGAAAAATTTAAAGAAGGCCTAAATATTAAGAAGAAAACCGTCCCTGTTCATGGGTTAGGTGACTTAATATTTTAAAGAAAGCAATATTCCTCATACTATTATAGAAATTCAGTGTATTCACTTTCAAAATCCTGTGACCAGTTGTTGCATAAAGTGTCAACCTGATCCTAAAAATAATACAAAAATACAAGGGAATATGAATAATTACAACAATCTTGAAAAAGAAAAATGTTGAAGAACTCACATTTCCTGATTTTGGCAAAAATGCTATCATGACTTTAAAATCAAGCAAAAATAAAACACGTTTTTTAGAAACTAAATTTCTTGCTCTTTTTTATTCCTAATCCATCACATTTCCTACACTAATAGCAATAGTATATAACTATAAGTTGTTCCAGACATACATGAATATACATTTTTAAAATTGCATATAAATATTTAGATAAAATATTTAGTTTACCTAAAGTGTGGGATTAAAAAAAAGACCTTCCCAATTATCTCACACTCTTTTTTCTATGTTGACTAACCACAATCACTAAATATTCTCAATTACATTTAATATCAGACCCTGGAAGACAGATAAATGTGATTCAACGCCATATAACTCTTTAAAATATTCCCCTGAATACTTAAAAGTCATAATGTCTTATAATCATATGTAATTTTAGCATTTGCAAATAGCATTATATCAGTTGACATAAAAATGTATTTATTAATAAAATGATGACATGTTAACATATATTAAGCCAACAGCTAATAATTACCTGTCTTATAGACAGTAATCTTCTTGGCTTTTTTCAAGAATAAACTTTGTTGTCCATATAATTATTTGAAGTTTATAAGCAAAGAACTGCAAAGACTGGCATTTCTGTATTAATTAAGTCTAACATTAATGAAGACTGACAGACAATTAGAATTCTGGAGCTCCCAGAGCTATTGATATTGTGTAGCCAAAGCTAGACATTTTCAGTGACTAAGGTCACTCAGACATTTTCAGTCCAATACTTATTCTTTTCTTTGAATAATGAACACACACACACACACACACACACACACACACACACACACACATTCTCTCTCTCTTTTAATGATTAACAAGGCAGGTATCAAGCATAAATGAAGCACTCCTTTTCACAAAGGTTTCACTGATATCCCTCACTCTCTCACTCTCTCTCTCTCTCTCGCAACTTCAGTTTTATATGATTTATTCTTCTCATTTTTTGACAGCAATTTTAAACTCTAAGTTTAATTAATGCTCAAAAGCATCATGTTATTCAAGAAAGATGTGTGTTGAACGTATTTCTGCAGATATTAGCTCCCAGAGAGAAATAACTCTTTGAAAATTCTGCTTAGTGGTTAACTCTAGGCGATATTTTTTAGATACAACTGTATTTCCTAACCTTTCCCACCATATACAGTCAACAATGTATTGTTTTTGTTTTGTTGCCATTAATTATTGTTTGATAATTCACAATGAACCAAGCTTTTATATCTTATAAGGTTTTAAGCCTTTCCATGAAATTAGACATTGTGACTAACAGACTAACTTGGGAGCATTTCCCACCCCCTAATAAAATTAATCATTGCTTCTAGGAGCAAGTCAAAATTTTTCTGAATTCAATTTGGCCACGAAGATTTTACAACCCACTAAAACTATTTTGCTAATGACAAAGAATCTCTCCGTCAGGCACTGCTGTAAACTCTGCATTTTTCATCTTTTGAACCGTGAATACAAACATAATAATAAAAGAATATGACTAAGAAACTAACAGGTTTTGTCAGTGTTTCTCACATCAGTGTTAGTTTAGCAGATTTTGTGTAATTTTTACCTGGGGGTAGCTAAATTAGGAATATTATATATCTTTTGAAGTTAAAGATAAAAGGTTATCATTTCTTCTAAAAGTACAAATGAGAGGTTCGTTTATAAGATATCAGTTAATATGGTTTGGCTGTGTCCCCAACCTCATCTTGAATTGTAGCTCCCATAATCCCTACATGTTGTAGGAGGGACCTGGTGGGAGGTAATTGAATTATGGCGGTGGGTTTTCTCCATGCTATTCCCGAGATAGTTAATAAGTCTCACGAGATCTGAAGGTTTTGTAAAGGGCAGTTTTCCTGCATGTGCTCTCGCCTGCTACCATGTTAGACATGCCTTTGCCCCCACTTTGCCTTCCACCATGATTGTGAGTCCTCCCCAGCCATGTGGAACTGTGAGTCAATAACACCTGTTTCCTTTATAAACTACCCAGTCTTGGGTATGTCTTTATCAGCAACATGAGAACGGACTAATAAAGCAGTAGAGCTGAGAATGACATAGGGCCTCAACCCATTTTGTTGAAAAAAAAACAGACAAGCATGCTCAATAACTGGTACTCACATTATTTTTTCTCACATTCTTTTTAAACTCTCTCACCTGCTAAGTAACATACTTTAATTTTTTTCTGAACTATGAATATTTAATTTCTATTCAGTCATATAATACAATCTGACCCTAGAGTGGAAGGGTAGGGGAGTTGGATAGAAGACATAATAAGATATATGGGTTCTCCAGAGAAACAGAATCATGTGGAGAGAGAGAGAGAGACAGAGAGAAGAGGAGATTTATTATACAGATTGACTGACATGATTATGGAGAGTGAGAAGTCTCAAAACTCTCCAGTCAACAAGCTGGAGTCCGGGGAGTGCCACTGTGTAGTTTCAGGCTGAGTCTGAAAGCTGAGAATTAGGACAGCTGATAGTGTAAGTTCCAGTCTGAAGGCTGGCAGGATTGAGACCCAAGAAGAGCCAATGTTTCAGTTCAAGTGCAAAGGCTGGAAAAGACTAATGTCCTAGCTTCAATAATTGGTCATGAGGTCTTTCTTCCTTAGCCTTTTTGTTCTATGCAGGTCTACAAATGATTGGAACAGGTCCATCCACATTAGGGAGGATAATATCCTTTACTCAGTCTAACAATTCAAATATTAATCTTTCATCCAGAAACTCTCACAGACACACCCAACATAATGTTTAGCCAAATGTCCAGGCATCCCATGGCCTAGTCAAGTTGACCCATAAAATTAATCGTTACAGACAGGAAATAGGAGCTAATAATTAAAACCTTCAACCACAGTATTTTTATGTGAAAATAGGCAAACAAATTTTGTTTTTACTCAGTGAAAGTCCATCTTTACGCATCTATACCTTCGTATATCACAAAGACCTCACACCACACTACTGTAGCTGCTATATATATGATTGTATTATCTATCAATTTGTGAATCCCTTAAAAGGAGAGCTGGTATTATTCCTGAGTATCCAGCACAGAGTCTTGAATATGTTGCACATTCAGTAAATGTTTCTTGAGTGTATTCATGGATGAACAATGTCATCTGCAATTTAATTTAATAATTCTCATTATATTATTATTTTAGAGGTGTTGCAGCACTTTTACATGGTTTATCTCACTTGAGAATTATGATCTTTAAGGAAACCAAAATATTTCACTCAAAATCTACTTTTTCTAACATATTTCAAGATGACTATTTAGAAAGGATCGAAATGTAAAAGTAGCTGAAAAGCTGTCTTTTTTGGGGGAGATTTGCCTTGGTAGAAAAAGTGTGCATTGATGCGGCCAGGCTTTCTCTGAGGCTGTCTCTTGTCCTGATATAGGAAAGATTAACTGAGAGTCTGATAGCTTTCATGTCTGAAAAAAATATTTACCATCTATTCTCTCCAAGGACTGCTGTCTGTAAGGTTTCATCTGCATAACAAGACCACCTTTTCTAGCCAGGTCTCCTGTGCTCTCTGTCTCATAACTTGTTTCACCACTATAATTTTTTTTGCCAAACTTTAAGTCCCCATTTTTTCTGTAACCTCAAAATGGTATAAATGCATCAACCATCTTGGCTTTTCTTGAGATCTTTGTAAGACTCCTATGCATATTAATAAATTTGCATGCTATTTTAGCTATGAATCTGTTTTTGTCAGTTGTTTTTCAGCTACAACCCCAATTCCATAAATGAAAAAGTAAAGCTCAGAGATAGTATTGACATATAGCCAGAAATGATCAGAAAAAGCACCTGAAATCAGAGCTTCTGGATCCAAATCTGTATAGCCCAGCAAGCACAAGGAAATGATTATGAAATGGTGAAAGGAAAAAATAGTATAAACTGAACACCATTTAGAGGTTAATATAATTGTAGATACTTTTAATTACTGACAAAGATAAATTTTCTTTATATTGAATATGCATTGCCTTGTTTAGCAGTTTTAATAACCCTATGAGATAGAGATTATTATCACTGCTTTAGTGATGAGGAAACTGAAGTGTTCAGAAGCTCTATAAACCACATAGGATTACGTAGTTAGTTGCCATTAGAGCCGGGATTTCCACCAAAAGTCTAAACAATTCTTAAGGCCTGTGCTATTAACCACTGTACAATATCATTATCATTCTTTGAAACACCCCATAAAGTATCTATAATTACATTTTATGGCTAAAGAAATGGAATCTTAGAAAGTTTAACTTACTTGTCCAGGCCACACAGATAATCAACAGAGCACAGATTTTAAATCAAGTCCAAAATCAGCTCTATTTTTCCATGGACCCCAGCTTTCACTGTATTTTAGACCCCTTATTCTATAAGACATGTGTAGTAACTGTACTAGTAAACACACACTTTAACAAATAGAAAGAGGTACAGAAATACAGTTATTGAAATATCTGGATTTACTTCTAATTTGAAGCTATTAAAGAAATCAAGAAATTTCTGCAGATTGCATATATCAACCCCAACAAAAGATGTGATACAACCAACTTATTTCAACCTGGAAGATATAAAAGTAATACTTAAGGTAATTAAACAAGGAAGTTCTGGTACAGTAAATCAAGAAAGGGATCTGTACGACAGCGTATAGAGATGTCATCTACCATTTTCAGCAAATGTTCCAACCAATTCCTCAAGGAAGATATTATTATAATCACATTGACCTGTTACTAGTATCTATTATTAGAGAAATAGGCAAATTAATATAGTTCCATGAAAGGGACATATATCAAAGAGGCCCCCAAATGCTGACAGAACTGTGAAACCAAATAAGGAGGCAGACATATCCAGTTTGTTGGTATAGGGTGGTTTATTAGGAGAACCTACAGACAGAGCCTCAAGACAGGTAGATCTCCATCCCAGAGACCCAGGGCTTATCTCTTAGGGAAAAGTATACATGGTGTGGAAGAAATGTGTAGGTGGCTATGAGCATCACAGGCTATGATTTCTGCAACAGCATCAAAGGTTGTTTGCAGGAAACACAGTCAGTTTTTCTACATAAAGAATAGTACGTTAAGTAGACGTTGTGGAGGCATTCCTGGACTTGAAGTTAATCACTGGATTAGCATTTAAAATAAAGTCACTCATCCTCACACTTCCCCTGTCTAATCAAGCTCTTACATTGTCATGTGCCCACCTCTTCCACGAAGGTCCTTCAGCCTTTAGAGGGGGCTGTCTGGTGCCAGACATTGTACAACTGTAGATTTCAGTTGTAAGAAAAGACCACAAAAGCGATATAAACAACAACAAGTGATACCTATGACAAGAACAATACTAAGAATTAATAGCACATTTTGCCACCATGGACCGCCAGAACTAACCTAAGAAGAAAACCATTGAGAGAAGGAAAAAATAGTGTGAGATATCATGATTACTTGTTTATGCATGTCTTGTAGGGTTGAATAATTACATCACCTCCTGTCACACCAACTAATACACAACTCCACTCACTGTTAAAGAGCTGTAATGGGTGTTTGTAAATGTTGTCAGTCATTTCCTCTCTGGCATAGGTGATACCCACCAAGGCAGACCAGAGATGTTGGAAAAAAGCAACAAACTTCAAACTCAGCAAGCATCCTTTTGTAACCCCTTGGCACAATGTTGAACCCATTGTAGGAAGAGATTCATTTCTCCATTTGTAGGGCAGACCATTGACAGGAACCAAAGACTATGTTTAGAACACAAATGTACTTGCAAGGGAATTCTTTCCCAAAAATCCATCAAGCAGAATGATTGTGGTATCTTTATGTCTATCAGTTTGGATATAGGCAATTCAAGGATTGCGGGCTGAGAGTTGCATGCCAAACATGTTGTCCAAAGGCAAAGATGCCAATATTATGTATAAGGTTACAAGGGCAGTAAAGGACTATGTCAAAGAGCCAACCAGAGTACCTTTTAAAAGGGTCCATGTTCCAGTGTACTTCTATGTTCAATGTCCTGGCCCAGACTCCAACAGGATAAACAGACCATTTGAGCTGGCTGGGGAATTTCTTATTCTCTGGCAAAAAATTCTCCATTCAATCTGGGGGAAGTTGTCAGCACAAACCCCAAAGTGTCCCCTTCCCTGGCTCAGCATCCTCAGGAGTCCTAAATAATATTTGCCACTGGCCATTTAAAAATTATTATAATTAATTAGTTTTCAGAGACAATGTCTCACACTATCAAGTCTGGAGTGCATGGTGTGGTCATAGTTCACTACAGACTTGAAACCCTGGGCTCAAGGGATGCTCCTACCTTAGCCTTCCAAGTAGTGGGCTACAAGTGCTGTGCCAACTAATTTCTTTTTTTAAAAAATTTTTTAGGGATGGGGTCTTGCTGTGTTCCTCAGTCTGGTCATAAACTCCTGACCTCAAGCAATCCTTCCACCTGGGGCTCTTAAAGTGCTGGGATCACAAGCATGAACCACTACTCCCAGCCCCACTGACCTTTTGTCAGCTCCAGTAGAACTGCATCTGGTCAGATTTTCTTCACAGCTATGGTTAATGGACCCACCTCATTGGAGGTCTTGAGAAGTTGGTATGGTGTCAGCTTCATATTTGTTACAACAGAATTAAGATTTCTAATGGCATGAGGCAAAACCTTCACATACCCATGCAGGGTACTGGATTGTATAAGAGCTCACAGCTATGCCAACTAACTGTCATTTTTCCTTTATATTAACCCTGTTGATTGGAGATTATATGGCAAGTTAAATCTTAAGTCTATGTCCTTTTTATGTGCCCAGTCTTGGACTTTATATCCAGTGAAATGTGTGCCTTGGTCACTATCAGTGCATTGAGGGTATTCATAAATGACAGGGAGTCATTCCAAAACTTTAATGGTACCTGTTTGGTTGGGCTTTCACAAGAGAAGGCCTACAACAATCCCATGGCAACAATCCCATGGTAGTGCTTACTTTTGTCCCAAGCTTACTGGCAGGGTTCCAAGGTAGTCTACTTACCAATCTCTCACAGAGGCAGCTTTCTTATGAAAATGTGTAATATGGCACAGACAGGAACAAATTAAACAGTTCGTTACTGCCATAATTACACCTGCATAGGAGACAGGCAATCCTACTCCCTTGGCTATTTGCCAGCCCACTCATGCACAGCTATGCCCCCTATGTTTACGTACCCAATCAGGTAGCTGAGATTACTGTAAGAGAGCCAGCATTAATTTTTGCTAGGGTATCAGCCTCCATGTTACTGGAAGGTGATCTGACCTGTGTGCTGAAACATAACACACAATTAGGCTCATGATGTGTTCTTGTAGCCTTTCCCAAATGTCTTTCTACATAGAAGCTCACCATAAGGGGTTTTTTGTTGTTGTTGTTAATTTGTTTGTTTGTTATTTTAGCATACGCCAGTCCTTCTGAGCCCATTGGGAAAGCCAAGTTTTAAGACTCTTAAATACTTCTCAACAGCCGTGTGCGGTGGCTCATGCCTGTAATCCCAGCACTTTGGGAGGCTGAGGCAGTGGATCACGAGGTCAAGAGATTGAGACCATACTGGCCAACATGATGAAACCCCATCTCTACTAAAAATACAAAAATTAGCTGGGCGTGGTGGTGCATGCCTATAGTCCCAGCTACCTGGGAGGCTGAGGCAGGAGAATAGCTTGAACTCAGGAGGCGGAAGTTGCAGTGAGCCAAGATTGCACCGCTGTACTCCAGCCTGGTGACAGAGTGAGACTCCATCTCAAAAAAAAAAAAAAAAAAAAAAAAGAGAGATTCTGCTCAACTGCCTATACAGAGAATGATAGTCTATGGCTTGTGGGTACAACCAACCATCCACCTTGATTTTCTGCCCATTGACTACTTTTCTGCATTCCCATATCAAACCAGATGGTGTCTATCTGTGGGTGGACAGCTACTGCTATGCACAGGTTACCTTGGCTTGGCCCATTTGAATACGAAGCATTTTCAGGAATAGGGGCCTTGCCTTCATGTACCATTGGAGGTATCTTCTATGGGGACTCCACAATACAGGCAACACTGGTCTCAAAGTGTCCTGGCCCTAAGATAGTATGCAGTTTATTTCCCAAAGGACTTGTGGAGAGGCTACTATGCCGTTGCTGTTATCCATGCCATTTTTGTAAAGTGGAGGTCAGGGCTAAAGCTGAGGAAGGCCTGGCAAACAACCCCTCTATCCAGCCCTTGGTAGAGAGGCCTGTTCTTACTGTTACCAGCCTAGCAACAGTTATGGGTTCAACTTACTGCAAGGCCCCTTGAACCTGTTGTTCAACTGGGGAAAAGCAGGGTTTAGCATCCTTCCACGGTTGTGACTAGAATCCTCAGGGAACTACTTTCACAGGGTGGACTTGCCAGTGGGCTCAATAGGTCCCCTCAGGGGTTATGGTCACTTCTAAAGATATTGGTATCCCAGGAAGGGGAAAAATCTAAGGCTTGTGCCTGAGCCACTACTATTTTAGCTGTCTCAAATGCTTACTCTTCTTTTTTATCCCAACATCAATGAGATTCCTTCTTTACTAGTTGGTATAAGAGATATAAACATTGAGCTACATGTGTAATGAAAGCCCATCAGTATCCCAAAAGGGGCAAGAAAATTTGTAACTGCATAACTGTCATAAGCATGGAAAATTGTATACTGTTTTGATTACCATGCCTAGAATAAGGCATGTCTTACCCAACCAAGTGAGCCCTATAAACTTTAAACTTTACAGCTGGTCCTGAGCCTTGTATCTTCTCCAGGTTGATGGCCCATCCTCTGAATTGGAGAAGGATGCACAAAGCATTAAGGTGTTGCTATAGTGATGACAAATTTTCAAGAGTTACGAAAATATCATCAATGTAATTGTATTACTCCATTTTCATGCTTCTGATAAAGACATACCTAAGACTGGACAATTTATAAAGAAAAAGAGGCTTAATGGACTCACAGTTCCATGTGGCTGGGGAGGCCTCACTATCATGGCAAAAGGTGAAAGTCACATGTTATATGGCTGCAAGCAAGAGAGAATGAAAGCCAAGGGAAAGAGGAAAATGCTTATAAAACCATCAGATCTTGTGAGACTTATTCACTACCATGAGAACAGTATGGAAAAAAAAACCACCCCCATGATTCAATTATCTTTTCCTAGTTCCCTTTCACAACATATGGAAATTATGGGAGCTACAATTCAAGCTGAGATTTGGGTGGGAGAAACAGCCAAACTATATCATTCCACTCCTGGCTCCTCCTAAATCTTATATCCTCACATTTCAAAACCAATCACGCCTTCCCAACAGTTCCCCAAAGTCTTAACTCATTTCAGCATTAATTGAAAAGTCCAAAGTCCAAAGTATCATCTGAGACAAGGCAGGTCCTTTCACCTATGAGTCAGTAAAATCAAAAGCAACCTAATTAGTTACTAGATACAATGGAGTACAGACATTGGGTAAATACAGTCATTCCAAATGGGAGAAATTGGCCAAAGCAAAGGGGCTATGGGCCCCATGTAAGTCCAAAATCCAGTGGGGAGGTCAAATCTTAAAGCTGCAAGATGATTTCCTTTGACTCCATGTCTCATATCTAAGGTGCACTGATGCAAGAGGTGGACTCCCATGGCCTTGGGCAGCTCCACTCCTGTGGCTTTGTAGGGTACAGCTCCCCTCCCGGCTGCTTTCACAGGCTGGCATTGAGTATCTGCAGCTTTTCCATGTGCATGGTGCAAGCTGTCAGTAGATCTACCATTCTGGGATCTGAAAGATGGTGGCCCTCTTCTCACAGCTCCACCATGCAGTGCCCCAGTGGGGACTCTGTGTGGGGGCTCCAACCCTACATTTCCCTTCCACACTGCCTTAGCAGAGGTTCTCCATGAGGGCCTCACCCCTGCAGCAAACTTCTGTCTGATGTCCAGGCATTTCCATACACCTTCTGAAATCTAGGTGGAGGTTTCCAAACCTCAATTCTTGACTTCTGTGCACCCACAGGCTCAACATCACATGGAAGCTGGCAAAGCTTGCACCCTCTGAAGCCATGGCCTGAGCTGTACCTTGGCCTTTTTTAGCCAAGGCTAGAGCAGCTGGGATGCAGGTCACCAAGTCCCTAGGCTGCACACAGCAGAGAGACCCTGGGCCCGGCCCACAAAACCATTTTTTTCCTCCTAGGCCTCCAGGCCTGTGATGAGAGGGGCTGCTGCAAAGGTCTCTGACATGCTCTGAAAACATTTTTCCAATTGTCTTGGTAATTAACTTCTGGATCCTCATTACTTATGCAAATTTCTTCAGCTGGCTTGAATTTCTCTCAGAAAAATGGGTTTTTCTCTTCTACTGCATCATTAGGCTGCAAAATTTTCAAACTTTTATGCTTTGCTTCCCTTTTAAAACTGAATGCTTTAAACAGCACCTAAGTCACCTCTTGAATCATTTACTGCTTAGAAATTTCTTCTGCCAGATACCCTAAATTATCTCCCTCAAGTACATAGTTCTGCAAATTTCTAGGGCAGGGCAAAATGCCACCAGTTTCTTTGCTAAAACATAACAAGAATCATCTTTACTACAGTTCCCAACAAGTTCCTCATCTCCATCTGAGACCACCTCAGCCGGGATTTCATTGTCCATATCACTATCAGGCTTTTGGTCAAAACCGTTCAACAAGTCTCTAGGAAGTTCCAAACTTTCCCACATTGTCCTGTCTTCTTCTGAGCCCTCCAAACTGTTCAAACTTCTACTGTTACCCAGTTCCAAAGTTGCTTCCACATTTTTGGGTATCTTTAGAGCAGTGCCCCACTGTACTGGTACCAATTTTCTGGATTAGTTCATTTTCACACTGCTGATAAAGATATACCTGTGACTGGGTAATTTATAAAGAAAAAGAGTTTTAGCCAGGTGTGGCGACTCATTCCTGTAATGCCAGCACTTTGGGAGGCCAAGGTGAGCAGATTACCTGAGGTCAGGAGTTCAAGACCAGCCTGACCAACATGGTGAAACCCCATCTCTATTAAAAATACAAAAAAAAAAAAAATTAACCAGACATGTAGTGGATGCCTGTATTCCCAGCTGCTTAGGAGGCTGAGGCAGGAGAATAGTTTGAACCTGGGAGGCAGAGGTTGCAGTGAGCCAAGACCATGCCATTGCACTCCAATCTGGGCAACAAGAACAAAACTCCACCTCAAAAAAATAAAAGAAAAGAAAAAAGAAAAAGAGATTTAATGGACTCACAGTTCCACATGGTTGGTGAGGCCTCACTAATCATGGCGGAAGGTGAAAGTCATGTGTTACATGGTGGCAGATAAGAGATAATGAGAGCCAAGTGAAAGGGGAATCCCCTTATAAAACCATCAGATCTTGTGAAACTTATTCACTACCAGGAGAACAGTATGGGGGAAACTGCCCCCATGATTCAATTGTCTCCCACTTGTTGCCTCCCACAACATATGGGATTTATGGGAGCTACAGTTCAAGATGAGATTTGGATGGGGACACAGCCAAACCATATCAGTAATGAACTATTTAAGAGCAAGTGTCAGTGGACAGAGAGTGAAAGGACAGAGAGTTAGATCTCTAGCAATCATACAATGAAAAGTGATGGGACTATGTAGATAACTGTGGGGCAACCCTTGAAATGTTCATTGCTGGCTATTCCAAATAAAAACAAATTGGTCCTGCGAGTCAGGGTGTAAAGGAATGCTAAAGAACTCATTAGCCAAATCTCATACAACACGATATGTGCCTATGTTTTGTACTATTTGATTTATCACTTGCATTATACTGGGCATAGCAGCATTCATCTCAGGAACCATCTTATTTAGTTCCTGGTAGTCTACTTTCATGCACCAGTTGCCATCAGGTTTCCTTACTGGTCATACAGGACTGTTGAATGACTGTGGGCTGGCTGCAAAATATTAACATTAGCCAGTTTCTTTATGGTGGCTGTGACTTTTTCTATCCAACCAAGAAGATGGTATAGTTTTACATGAATAACCTGCCTGGGGGAAGAAGGTATATAGGTTCCCATTTTTCTTCCCTTCTTAAAATTGACTTTACTGCCCAAACCCATGGGTGAAATTTGCCCACAGATTTTTGCAATGTGCATCCTAACTGGACATCCATACCCAAAATGTTTTCTGGAATTGGAAAGATAAAGGCAGTATAGTAAATTGGGAGAATGCCAAATACCAATGTGGAGACGAGTTTGTTTCACTGGGATTGTTCACCCCCTGTAACCGTCTACAGCTGCCCATTAACTAGGGTGTATCTCTGGATTTTTTATAAATTAAAGTGCATTCTGCACTAAAGTCAAGGTTCTCTGTTAATTTTTTGGACTCTAATAAAACAGGGAACTCCAAATGGGGCCTCTGACCAGCCCCTATTGCTTGTATGCAGAGGCAACCTTGGCCCAGTCTCTTAAGCTGGGAGTAAGTCCACCCCAGGAACACAGATATTGTGGTTCTTTTATGTGGAACTTCTTTTCTCCTTCTCCCTCAGGGTAAGGAACTAAGGAGGGGTCTTCTTGAGAGTCAGGTCTTTCCAAAGGCCCACCAATTGCAATTTGGTTGCCAGTCTATTTTCTTTTGGTCTACCTTGGCTGAAATGAGATCAAAAAACATTTATTTCCTAGTAATTTCAACTTGATCTCCCTTTTTCAGTCCAGTCGAGTTAGCATCTCCTTTTCCCTCTTTTCTTTAAATAAGCAGCCAGACTTTATCTCTTCCCTTTTCAGTTTCTCCAAGAATAGCTTCCCCACATCATATACATCTTATCCCACAAGGGGGATCAAGAGGAATATGAGAGGCCTGTGCCGTTCCTGGCAAGCATTCTGTAAATATTTGTTTTTCATATCTACAGTAAACACAGCATTATCTGGTCCTTTAAATTGTTGGGCTTATATACACTGGCACATGCATAACTCTTATAGGGGTCTGCAGTTCTTCCAAAGACTGTCATGGCGAGCTGTGCTCAGGGAAGTCTCCTTCATTTAGCCGTGTCTCTCTCATGGCCTCTATAATTCAGTCCATCAGGCTATGATTACCCTGGACAGTTCTAAAACTGTGCAAATATTGTCTCAAAGTTGCATAAGTGGTTACATTACTCATTTTTTCAGCTTCATTTCCTGCTGGGAAAATGCCATCCTCACCAGTTTCCCATAGCCACACAATCCATTTGGCTAAACTTTCTTTAGGCAACTGTTTAAAAGTTTTTGCATTGTCCAGTAATTTTTCTGATGAGCACTTCCAGGCAGTGAAGATTTCCTGAAAGGCTGTTCTTTATTGCCTGGCTACATGCATTGGGATTTTGCTTTCTGCTGCATGTGTAGTCTTGCTCTCAAAAGAGAAGGATAATTATCCTCCTCCTTCAAGATCTGTGTCTTCATCTGATTCACTAGGTGATTCCCAAGGCTTCCAGATATTTGCATCCCAATCTGCTTTGGCAAGGACAGCCCTCATTTTCAGCCAGTGCAGATTCCTCTCTCCCAGCTGTGAACAGTGGCTGGCGAGGGTTTCTAGCTGTGCTTCCGGAATTTCAAGCTTATCAGCCAGATAAGACACTGTCAGGCCTCTGAGCCCAAGCTAAACCATCATATCCCCTGTGATCTGAACATATACATCCAGATGACCTGAAGCAACTGAAGAACCACAAAAGAAGTGAAAATAGGCAGTTCCTGCATTAACTGATGACATTCCACTGTTGTGATTTGTTCCTGCCCCACCCTAACTGATCAATTGAACTTGTGACATTCCTTCTCCTGGACAATGAGTGTCAGAAGCTCCCCACCAAGCACCTTGTGACCCCCGCCCCTGCCCACAAGAGAACAACCCCCTTTGACTATAATTTTCCACTACCTACCCAAATCCTATAAAACTGCCCCACCCCTATCTCCCTTTGTGAACTCCTTTTTCGGACTCAGTCTGCCTGCACCCAGGTGATTAAAAAGCTTTATTGCTCACACAAAGCCTGTTTGGTGTTCTCTTCACATGGACGCGTGTAACACTAATGCAGACATGGAAGTCCTCATATCAGTTTCTAACTGTAATTCTTCTAACTTTTGTACACTCACTCATCTCAGCCACTGCATGTGCTTCCAATGCTTACAAAACCGTAATAATGGCCACCTCCCTGTTGCCATCACTTGGCAACCCTTTTCACCACAGCTTTTTACTAACAAATGTTCTAGACCCTCTGGCATTTTCAGAGCATCCCTATATTCATGTGGTTGTTAACAGGCTTCTAGCAAATGGGCAACACAGCAACCTACAGATGAGGAGGGCCCCTTGGGATTTCCCTCATGGACGTTTCTTTCTCCTTCACAACTTTGATTTCCTGACTCCTCCTAGTTTGATTGCTTATTTGATCGTGAAAGGGCCATACATGCAAAGAGGCCCCCAAATGCCAAAGGAACCATGAAACCAAAGAAGGAGGCAGACAAATTCTGTTTGTGGGTGTAGGGTGACTTGTTAGGGGGGACTTACAGACAGAAGCGTGGTCTTGAGAAGCCTCAAATCAGGTAGATCTCTGTACCACAACCCCCAAGTCCAAGGGCTTATATCTTAGAGAAAAAATATATGTGCTCTGGAAGGAATTTGTAGGTGGCTATGAGTGTCACAGCCTATGATTTCTGCAACAGCATCATGGGTTGCTTTGGATGAAACTGATAGTGAATAGATGTTCCTATATAAAGAGTAATACATCAACTAAACGTTTTGGAGGCATTCCCAGAGCTGAGGTTAGTCTGTGGATTAGCATTTAAAATAAAGTCATTCTTGTACCCACAGGTGTGTTGGTAGAAAAATAAAACATAGGCTGGGCACAGTGGCTCACGCCTGTAATCCCAGCACTTTGGGAGGCCGAGGCAGGTGGATCATGAGGTCAGGAGATCGAGACCATTCTGGCTAACACGGTGAAAGCCCGTCTCTACTAAAACTACAAAAAATTAGCTGGGTGTGGTGGCAGGCACCTGTAGTCCCAGCTACTCGGGAGGCTGAGGCAGGAGAATGGTGTGAACCAGGGAGGCAGAGCTTGCAGTGAGCCGAGATCACGACACTGCACTCCAGCCTGGGTGACAGAAAAAGAAAACATGAACACAGGTACTAGAACTTAGAGAAATAATGGTAAGATTTATTCTGAGCCAAGTTTGAGGGCTTAAAACCAGAAACACAGACTCAATGTAAACCAAAAGTGTGTCCCAAAGTAGATTACATGTGGTAGAGTACATAAGCATTTTCCAACAGGGAGATATATGTGGCACAGAAAGTGGGAGAAACAGGTTGTAAAGCAACAGTTACATTCTTGTGATTTTGATTGGTGCTCAGTGACTTTATACACAAGATTAGGTAAATATGTGATTGAGTGTTAGGGAAAACATTTAGGCATCTTGGTGACTAGGGGAAGGTCTGGAGGAAGGTGACTAATTCTATCCTGTCTTTGTTCTACATCTGATAAGGAGGTTTATGACCAATATGTCTCCATGAAATATCTTAAAAACCCCAGTTACACAGGCAAGAGGTCAGCTTTAGTTTGTAGACCTAGGGTTTATTATCCATGTGCCTGACCGTAGCCATGGTGGGCCATTGTTAATAATTTCTTTTGAATTTTCCTTTTTCTGACAGATAGATAAACATAGAAATATTGGTATGTGTAATTTGCATGCACTTAAGACAGCTATTTGGCATTCTTTGTATGCTTCATTCTGTAGGATTGTTTCACTTACTCAACTATCCTTTTTCTATATTATTATAATAATGCTGATTTATAGAACTCCATTACATATGCCAAAGAAGTATTTCGATAGAATAGAACAAAATGGACATTTAAATTCAAGAATTTGGTTTGCCATGTAACCCTATACAGTAAACTGTTTTCTTTTATGGGTTCACATTAATTGAAAGGTGATAATAGGTTAAACTGATCCACAACTTTAAAGATTTTACACAGGTGAGAAATAAACCATGACATTTTGCATAATAACCTAAGAGAAATAAAAATATTCTAGTTTTGGAAGAAAAACTCTAAGTTCAGTTTGAACACATTGATTTTGAGGATGTCCAAATCAAGATGCTTAAAAAGCAATTCAAGGTGAAAGATATCTGAGTGGATAAATGCAATGTGGGCCATAGACAAAGCTTTGGAAGTCAAAGGTACTTCAAAGTAATCATTCAAGTTTTAAGAAAACATATAATTTCATCAAGGAATAAAAAAGAAAGAAATGATGGCAGAATCCAGAACATTGGAGTGTCCCTATCATTATTGTTGGAAGAAAGAGAACAGGGACAAAGGTGCATTTCCAAAAGAAGAAGGGGAAGTCTCACAAATGCTATAGAAGACTCAGGCAAGGAAACTTTAGAAAGGAACATTGGCCAACATTGGAATACACTGAAGAAAGCCTAGAAGAAAAGTTGATATGTGGCATAAATTGATTTGATTATTAGGGAATTTTTTGTACCACATAAATCAAACAAGGAGTTACAGAGAAAATGGCTGACAAGGGTCCAGTTATTGATAATGCTTTTCAAATTTTATTTATTTTTTATTTTTATTTTTATTTTTTGAGACAGAGACTTGCTCTGTAATCCAGGCTAGAGTGCAGTGGTGTGAACACAGCTCACTGCAACTTTGACCTCCTAGGCTCAAGTGATCCTCCTGCCTCAGCCCCCCAGGTAGTTGGGACTACAGGTGTGAGCCACCATGCCTGGCTATTTTTGTATATATTTTTTTCGTTATTTGCCCAAGCTGGTCTTGAACTCCTGAGCTCAAGTGATCCACCTGCCTCAGCCTCCTAAAGTGCTGGGATTACAAGCATCAGCCACTGCACCCAGACTTCAACCTTTGATGTGCATATTTTCTTCACTTTAAAATGCACATTTTGCCTCAGTCTGGAATGTAGAATGGAATTCTACATTTATAAAAACTCCCAGTTATAACACTGTAATTAATTCAGGTGTAACACTTACATAGCAAGACTGTAAAGTGCTTGAATTAATTTAGTAACTAGTAAATAAGAAAGGAAGAGTTAGCATAGAATTCAAGAGATTTGAGAGATAGAAAAGGGTAGGAAACTTTGAGGTCCACTGAAGTAGGTCATGGTAACAGGAATTAAAAATTATGTAAGGATGCACTTGTAGTAAATCTTCCTCTTTAGTGGAGAAACTGTATACAATTCTTACATATTTTCACAGACCCAAGCTCAAACAGATTAAGCAAAAATATGGGTAACAGTATTGTACTAGTTAACAGTAGGTTATTCTTGTTCCATCTTGATAGAGAGGGATCATGGTAGATGATTAGCTTTGACAAGCACTTTGATTTGGCAAGCAGGATCAGGGAAGCATTTTGAGCTTCTAGAGATGCAAACACACTATTTTTATATATACATATTTCCTCCAAAGCTTACATTTTTAGTTTTTTTCTACATTTGAAGATGTTCTTCATTTTTGCTTTTATATAAAGATACCTAGTTTCCAGAACAATATGACCAAAAGGATGAAAACAAAGTTAAGTAGAAATAATTTATATTACCTATATAATAACATAATCTTAATGTCTGAATAAGATTTTCAGTACTTTTATTTCCCACCAGTCACACCAATATACAGTAACAGATCTTAATTAGCAATTTGTTAGAAACCATGCTGTGTTTCATAATGTACTGTTCCCACGGTTGGAAGTACTTTGAGTAGAGAATAAATCTCTAAAAAGAGAAGAGCATTCTTTTTTAGTTCTGACAAAGAAAAACAAAAACAGTGAAAGATTTACATTCAATACAATGTTCAAACAGGAGACATGTAAGCAGGTTCAAATATGATATAAGATTAAACATGACTTTTCGTATTTTTACTTATTTTTAGGCACCTGGAAGCCAACAAAGAACATTTGAAGAATGAAGGTTATATTAATTGTTTCTCAGATGGGGAAAAAATCCACATAAAAAAGTTGACAAAGCCAACATCTATAAATATTGATTGTCTGAATATGTTTCCTGTATTAACTTTGAGTAAAGTAGGAAAATGAACACAAGTTTTTCAAGAATCAATCCTGGAAATGAGACATGTGCATCAGAACTATAAACTGGAAAATAACTACATACATTGACAGGAATGTGGATTAATTTCTGTTAGCTACAGTACAGATGGGACCAGAGAAAAGGAGAACAGCAAGGCCAGCCTTATAGTTGAATTATAGGGAGAAATCAGAGATTGTGGACTTGTGGAAAAAGAAGAAAAGAGTAGGCTAGGCACAAATGAGGAAATTACAACCACTATTTGGCATTAGAATCAGTAGTTTTCTAAAGCAGCTTTTCTGGGAGCCACAAGGCAAGGACAGCCACCACAAGCTGAAAGCTGGCAAGCAGCATACCAATCTCCTGGGGGCCAATTTGCATGCGACAGCCCTCCTACTAATAAAAAGAGGGAAGAGGGTTTTAACAAATACTCAATGCAAACATGCAAAGAACATGAAGATGCTCTACCTAAAAATATATGTCACTAACAAACATGTGAAGGATACATTTTTGATAGACATCAATTATTAATCATATGCCATGTGAGAGCAGCTCTACATGCAATATATTCATTAAACCCTCTAAAAAACTTCAAGCAGCTAGAAAGATCTCAAATAGACATCCTAATATCTCAACTAAAAGAAATAGAGAACCAAGAGCAAACAAACCTCAAAGCTAGGAGAAGACAAGAAATAACCAAGGTAAGAGAGGAACTGAAGGAGACAGAGACACAAAAAACCCTGCAAAAAATCAATGAATCCATGAGCTGATTTTTTGAAAAAATTAATAAAATAGGTAGACCACTAGCTAGACTAATAAAGAAGAAAAGAGAGAAGAATCAAATACACACAATAAAAAATTACAAAGGGGATATCACCACTAACACCACAAAAATACAAACAACCATCAAGGATACTATAAACACCTCTATGCAAATACACCATAAAGTCTAGAAGAAATGAATAAATTCCTGCACACATACACCCTCCCAAGGCTGAACCAGGAATAAGTTTAATCCCTGAACAGACTAATAACAAGTTCTGAAGTTAAGACAGTAATAAATAGCCTACCAACCAATAAAAGCCCAAGGACAGATGGATTCACAGCTGAATTCTACCAGAAGTACAAAGAGCAGCTGGTACCATTTCTTCTTTAACTGTTCCAAAGAATTGAAAAGGAGGGACTTCTCCCTAACTCATTTTATGATGCCAGCATCATGCCGATACCAAAACCTGGCAGGGATACTAAAAAAAGAAAACTTCACGCCAATATCCCTGATGAACATCAATGCAAAAATCATCAATAACATACTGGCAAACCCAATCCAGCAGCACATCAAAAAGCTTATCCACCGCAATCAAGTCAGCTTCATTCCTGGGATGCAAGGGTGGTTCAATATATGCAAATCAATAAACATAATTTATCACATGAACAAAACTAAGGACAAAACCCACATGATTATCTCAATAGATGCAGAAAAGTCCTTCGACAAAATTCAACATCTCTTCATGATTAAAAACTCTCAGTAAACTATGTACTGATGGAGCATAACTCAAAATGTTAAGAGCCATTTATGACAAAACCACAGCCAATATCATACTAAATGGGCAAAATCTGGAAGCATTCCCCTAGAAAACTGGCACAAGACAAGGGTGCCCTCTCTCACCACTCCTATTCAACATAGTATTGGAAGTTCTGGCCAAGGTAATCAGGCAAGAGAAAGAAATACAGGGTATTCAAAATAGGAAGAGAGGAAGTCAAACTCTCTGTTTGCAGATAACATTATCCTGTATCTAGAAAACCCCATCATCTCAGTCCAAAAGCTTATTAAGCTAATAAGCAACTTCAGCAAAGTCTCAGGATACAAAATCAATGAGCAAGAATCCCAAGCATTTCTATACACTAACAATAGTCAATCAAAGAACCAAATCATGAATGAACTCCCATTCACAATTGCTACAAAGAGAATAAAATACCTAGGAATGCAGCTAACAAAGGAAGTGAAGGACCTCTTCAAGGAGAATTACAAACCACTTCTCAAGGAAATAAGAGAGGACACAAACAAATGGAAAAACACGCCATGCTCATGGATAGGAAGAATCAATATCATGAAAATGTCCATACTTCCCAAAGTAATTTATAGATTTAATACTATTCCCACTAAACTATCATTGACATTCATCACAAAATTAGAAATAAAAAACTGCTTTAAAATTTATATGGAACCAAAAAAGAGCCCATATAGCCAAGACAATCTTACACAAAAAGAACAAAGCTGGAGGCATCATGCTACCTGACTTCAAACTGTACTTCAATTCTACAATAACTAAAACGGCATGGTACTGGCACAAAAACAGTCACAGAGCAATAGAACAGAATAGAGATCTGAGGAATAAGAACACACATCTACAACCACCTGATCTTCGACAAACCTGGTAAAAACAAGCAATGGGGAAAGGATCCCCTATTTGATAAATAGTGCCGGGAAAACTGGCTAGCCATATGCAGAAAATTGAAACTGCACCCCTTCCTTACACCTTATACAAATATCAAATCAAGATGGATTAAAGACTTAAATGTAAAACCCAAAACTATAAAAATCTTAGAAGAAAATCTAGACAATACCATTCAGGACATGGGCACAGAAAAAGATTTCATGATGAAATTGTAAAAAGCAGTTGCAACAAGAGCCCAAATGGACAAATGGAATCTAATTAAACTAAGAGCTTCTGCACAGCAAGAGAAACTATCATCAGAGTTAACAGACAACCTACAGAATGGGAGAAAATTTTTGCAATCTATCCACTTGACTAAGGTCTAATATCCGGAATCTACAAGGAACTTTAAAAAATTTACAAGAAAAAAACAATGCCATTAAAAAGTGGGCAAAGGACATGAACAGACACTTCTCAAAAGAAGACATTTATGTGGCTGACCAACATGGAAAAAAAAAAAAGCTCAACATCACTGATCATTAGAGAAATGCAAATCAAAACCACAATGAGATACTACCTAATGCCAGTCAGAATGGTGACTATTAAAATGTCAAGAAAAAACAGATGCTGGTGAGGCTGTGGAGAAATAGGAATGCTTTTACACTATTGGTGGGAATGTAAACTAGTTCAAACATTGTGGAAGACAGTGTGGTTATTCCTCAAAGTCCTAGAACAAGAAATACCATTTGACCCAACAATTCCATTACTAGGGATATACCCAAAGCAATATAAATTATTCTATTATACAGATACATGTATGTGTATGTTCATTACAGCACTATTCACAATAGCAAAGAGATGGAATCAACCCAAATGCTCATCAATGATAGACTGGGTCAAGAAAATGTGGTACATATACACTATGGAGTACTATGCAGCGATAAAAAAGGAACAAAGTCATGTCCTTTGCAGGGGCATGGATGGAGCTGGAAGCCATTATCCTTGGCAAACTAAGGCAGAATAGAAAACCAAACACCACATGTTCTCATTTATAAGTGGAAGCTGAACAATGAGAACAATTGACACAGGGAGGGGATACAACACACACTGGGGCCTGCCAGGGGGCCGAGGGAAGGAGATCATCAGGATAAGTAGCTAATGCATGTGGGGCTTAATAGGTAGGTGATGGGTTGATAGGAGCAGCAAACCACCATATCACACGTTTACATAACAAACTTGCACATCCTGGAACTTAACGTTAAATTAAATTAAATTTTTAAAAAATTCCAAAAAAACTTCAAGGAAGGCAGGAGAATTTTTCCTATTTCACAGATGAAGAAACTGAGTCTAAGTGAGATTAACTTGCATAAGGACAGGCTTACAGAATTTAGAAAATTTAGGATTTGAATGTAAAACTTTGACTCTCAAATGCTACATTTAACATTTATTCTGTCACTAGTAACAAACGATATGCAAAATTAAGCAATAAGGTGACTGATGCTTTAAAAACTTACAGTGATTAAAATGGATGTTGCTATCAGTTGTTAGCAGAGGTATAAACAGCAACTCTCAGTGCTGATGGAAACAAAACTTGCTATAAATTTTATGAGTAATATTTTTAAAATAATTATAAATTATAAAACAACCCCTTTGAGTCATCAATACCACTTCTAAGAATATACATAAAAATAAGAATCAATGAGTTTAAAGATACCACTAAAAGATTACTCATAAGAGCATTCTTTACAATCGCAAATAAACAAACTGAAGGTCTCAAAACAAGATATTGATAAAACAAATTATAATACATCCAGAAGAACATTACATGAGACTGCAAGATACATGGAACCTAATAAATGGGAGGAGGGGAGTTTTAAGGCAATAGAAGGCAAATATATTTATATCTTAAAAATTTTATGAAACAAAAACAGAAAAGCAGAAACACACTTATGCAGTGTATTTAAGATACATACAGTTTAAGAAAGAGTTATTGTAGCCCTTTCTTTATTTTAAATTGTGTAGAAGCATAATTCATATTGATGAGGAAATTTAAGTCTATTTTCCTTTTGGAGAAACCAAGGGGGTAGGAGAAGATAAACCTAGAATTCTAGGCTCTCCTTTCTAAAGCTTGGATCCAGCAGTTAAATCCAGGTAGTATTAAAGACAGGGCTGTGAAACACTATGTTTTTAAAGAATACTTTTCCAGTGGTTGACATGTGTGAATCACTGTTGTAAGTAATCTGGAAATACTAAGTCTCTTGTATAATGTTCCTAACAAACATATGAGATAGGAAAACTCCAACATACCTTTATGCAGTTATAAAGTAGCAAGCACAAGGAGGATAAACAACTAGTCCAAGGTCAGAGCTAACAAAAGGCAGAGCTGGGCTTTCAACTCAAAACAGTTAGACACCAGAGAGAAGTTTAACCACTATGTTAAGATGCCTCTATATTCTTTTTCTTTCCTCCACGTTTTCCATGGTCTCCATGGCCTCGTATCATCATTACTCTTCTTTATATCCTAAAACTCCTGAATTTTATTGATTTGTATTTTTATTATTTATTTATCACTAAAATGTATAGCGATTGTTTTCGTTTCGTATTCTCTTACCTCCTATGAAAGTTGTGTAACTTAATTGGCATTTACAAATATTTAAAAACTCACTAGTTTTGCCAAGTTGTCCTATTCATCTCTTTCTAAAGATTTCCTCTAAATTGGCATATTAGGGTCATGTTTTCTGAAGTCATATATTTCTCTATTGAACTCAAGGTTAATAAGAGTTTAGCTTGATCTAAAATTCTTGAAATACACATTACTTCCCAGATGATTTTGAAACAATGCTTCTCCGTTTTCTGATTTTTGTGTTATTGTAGTCTGATTCTGAACCCAACCTTATTTTTTCCAACTTATAGATATATTAAATTTTCCTCCTAGAGCCATAGAGTTTTTTCCTGATGTACACTTATGCTAACTGACCCACATCAATTTATTTCTAAACATCAGTTACGACTTTAGTGTGTATATTCAAAGGGTTATTTAATTTATATGTATTTTTGAATTATCTCCTCAAAAAACCTTTTTATTTATTTCTGCTTCCATGTATTCTATTTCATTTGCTTTGCTTTCTTTAAAAGGCACAGCAATAATGCATATATTAATAATCTTTTTTTATTATACTTTAAGTTCTAGGGTACATGTACACAATGTGCAGGTTTGTTACATATGTATGCATGTGCCATGTTGGTGTGCTGCACCCATTAACTCCTCATTTATATTGGGTATATCTCCTAATGCTATCCCTCCCCCCTCCCCCCACCCCACAACAGGCCCCGGTGTGTGATGTTCCCCTTTCTGTGTCCAAGTGTTCTCATTGTTCAATTCCCACCTATGAGTGAGAACATGCGGTGTTTGGTTTTTTGTTCTTGCGATAGTTTGCTGAGAATGATGGTTTCCAGGTTTGTCCATGACCCTACAAAGGACATGAACTCATCCTTTTTGTGACTGCATAGTATTCCATGGTGTATATGTGCCACATTTTCTTATTCCAGTCTATCATTGTTGGACATTTGGGTTGGTTCCAAGTCTGTGCTATTGTGAATAGTGTCGCAATAAACATACGTGTGCATGTGTCTTTATAGCAGCATGATTTATAATCCTTTGGGTTTATACCCAGTAATGGGATTGCTGGGTCAAATGGTATTTCTAGTTCTAGATCCCTGAGGAATCGCCACACTGTCTTCCACAATGGTTGAAATAGTTTACAGTCCCACCAACAGTGTAAAAGTGTTCCTTTTTCTCCACATCCTCTCCAGCACCTGTTGTTTCCTAACTTTTTAATGATTGTCATTCTAACTGGTGTGAGATGGTATCTCATTCTGGTATTGATTTGCATTTTTCTGATGGCCAGTGATGATGAGGATTTTTTCATGTGTCTTTTGGCCGCATAAATGTCTTCTTATGAGAAACGTCTGTTCATATCCTTTGCCCACTTGCTGATGGGGTTGTTTTTTTCTTGTAAATTTGTTTCAGTTTCTTGTAGATTCTGGATATTAACCCTTTGTCAGATAAGTAGATTGCAGAAATTTTCTCCCATTCTGTAGGTTGTGTGTTCACTCTGATGGTAGTTTCTTTTACTGTGCAGAAGCTCTTTAGTTTAATTAGATACCATTTGTCAATTTTGGCTGTTGTTGCCATTGCTTTTGGTGTTTTAGACATGAAGTCCTTGCCCATGCCTATGTCCTGAATGGTATTGCCTAGGTTTTCTTCTAGGGTTTTTATGGCTTTAGGTCTAATATTTAAGTCTTTAATCCATTTGAATTAATTTTTGTATAAGGTGTAAGGAAGGCATCCAGTTTCAGCTTTCTACATATGGCTGGCCAGTTTTCCCAGCACCATTTATTAAATAGGGAATTCTTTCCCCATTGCTTGTTTTTGTCAGGTTTGTCAAAGATCAGATATTTGTAGATGTGTGGTATTATTTCTGAGGGCTCTGTTCTGTTCCATTGGTCTATATCTCTGTTTTGGTACCAGTACCATGCTGTTCTGGTTACTGTAGCCTTGTAGTATAGTTTGAAATCAGGTAGCATGATGCCTCCAGCTTTGTTCTTTTGGCTTAGGATTGTCCTGGCAATGCGGGCTCTTTTTTGGTTCCATATGAACTTTAAAGTAGTTTTTTCCAATTCTGTGAAGAAAGTCTTTGGTAGCTTGATGGGGATGGCATTGAATCTATAAATTACCTTGGCCAGTATGGCCATTTTCATGATATTGATTCTTCCTATCCATGAGCATGGAATGTTCTTCTATTTGTTTGTATCCTCTTTTATTTCATTGAGCAGTGGTTTGCAGTTCTTTTTGAAGAGATGCCTCACATCCCTTGTAAGTTGGATTCCTAGGTATTTTATTCTCTTTGAAGCAATTGTGAATGGGAGCTCACTCGTGATTTGGCTGTTTGTCTGTTATTGGTGTATAAGAATGCTTGTGAATTTTGCACATTGATTTTGTATCCTGAGACTTTTCTGAAGTTGCTTATCAGCTTTATGAGATTTTGGGCTGAGACAATGGGGTTTTCTAGATATATACAATCACGTCATCTGCTAACAGGGACAATTTGACTTCCTCTTTTCCTAATTGAATACCCTTCATTTCTTTCTCCTGCCTGATTGCCCTGGCCAGAACTTCCAACACTATGTTGAATAGGAGTGATGAGAGAGGGCATCCCTGTCTTGTGCCAGTTTTCAAAGGGAATGCTTCCACTTTTTGCCCATTCAGTATGATATTGGCTGTGGGTTTTTCATAAATAGCTCTTATTATTTTGAGATACGTCCCATCAATACCTAATTTATTGAGAGTTTTTAGCATGAAGGGCTATTGAATTTTGTCAAAAGCCTTTCTGCATCTATGGAGATAACCATGTGGTTTTTGTCTTTGGTTCTGTTTATATGCTGGACTACATTTATTGATTTGCATATGTTGAACCAGCCTTGCATCTCAGGGATGAAGCCCACTTGATCATAGTGGATAAGCTTTTTGATGTGCTGCTGGATTCCGTTTGCAGTATTTTATTGAGTATTTTCACATCGATGTCCATCGGGGATATTGGTCTAAAATTCTCTTTTTTTGTTGTGTGTCTGCCAGGCTTTGGTATCAGGATGATGCTGGCCTCATAAAATGAGTTAGGGAGGATTCCCTCTTTTTCTATTGATTGGAATAGTTTCAGAAGGAATGGTACCAGCTCCTCCTTGTACCTCTGGTAGAATTCGCCTGTGAATCCATCTGGTCCTGGACTTTTTTTGGTTGGTAAGCTATTAATTATTGCCTCAATTTCAGAGCCTGTTATTGGTCTATTCAGGGATTTAACTTCTTCCTGGTTTAGTCTTGGGAGAGTGTATGTGTCCAGGAATTTATCCATTTCTTTTAGATTTTCTAGTTGATTTGTGTAGAGGTGTTTATAGTATTTTCTGATGGTAGTTTGTATTTCTGTGGGATCATTGATGATATCCCTTTATCATTTTTTATTGCATCTATTTGATTCTTCTCTCTTTTCTTCTTTATTAGTCTTGCTAGTGGTCTATCAATTTTGTTGATCTTTTCAAAAAAACCAGCTCCTGGATTCATTGATTTTTTGAAGGGTTTTTGTGTCTCTATCTCCTTCAGTTCTGCTCTGATCTTAGCTATGTCTTGCCTTCTGCTAGCTTTTGAATGAGTTTGCTCTTGTTTCTCTTGTTCTTTTAATTGTGATATTAGGGTGTCAATTTTAGATCTTTCCTGCTTTCTCTTATGGGCATTTATTGCTATACATTTCCCTCTACACATGTTTTAAATGTGTCCCAGAGATTCTGGTATGTTGTGTCTTTGTACTTATTGGTTTCAAAGAACATCTTTATTTCTGCCTTCATTTCATTATGTACCCAGTAGTCATGCAGGAGCAGGTTGTTCAGTTTCCATGAAGTTGAGCGGTTTTGAGTGAGTTTCTTAATTCAGAGTTCTAGTTTGATTGCACTGTGGTCTGAGAAACAGTTTGTTATAATTTCTGTTCTTTTACATTTGCTGAGGAGTGCTTTACTTCCAACTCTGTGGTCAATTTTGTATTAAGTGTGATGTGGTGCTGAGAAGAATGTACATTCTGTTGATTTGGGGTGGAGAGTTCTGTCGATGTCTATTAGGTCTGCTTGGTGCAGAGCTGAGTTCAATTTCTGGATATCCTTGTTAACTTTCTGTCTCGTTGATCTGTCTAATGTTGACAGTGGGGTGTTAAAGTCTCCCATTATTATTATGTGGGAGTCTAAGTCTCTTTGTAGATCTCTAAGGACTTGCTTTATGAATCTGGGTGCTCTTTTATTGGGTGCATATATATTTAAGAAAGTTAGCTCTTCTTGTTGAATTGATCCCTTTACCATTATGTAATGGCCTTCTTTGTCCCTTTTGAGTTTTGTTGGTTTAAACTCTTTTTTATCAGACACTAAGGTTGCAACCCCTTCTTTTTTTGTTTTCCATTTGCTTGTTAGATCTTCCTCCATCCCTTTCTTTTGAGCCTATTTGTGTCTCTGTGCATGAGATGGGTCTCCTAAATACAGCACACTGATGGGTCTTGACTCTATCCAATTTGTCAGTCTGTATCTTTTAATTGGAACATTTAGTCTATTTACATTTAAGGTTAATATTGTTATGTGTGAACTTGATCCCGTCATTATGATATTAGCTGGTTATTTTGCTCGTTAGTCAATGCAATTTCTTCCTAGAATCGTTGGTCTTTACAATTTGGCATTTTTTTGCATTGGCTGTTACCGGTTGTTCCTTTCCGTGTTTAGTACTTCCTTCAGGAGCTCTTGTAGGGCAGATCTGGTGGTGACAAAATCTCTCAGTATTTGCTTGTCTGTAAAGGATTTTATTTCTCCTTCACTTATGAAGCTTAGTTTGGCTGGATATGAAATTCTGGGTTGAAAATTCATTTCTTCAAGAATGTTGAATATTGGCCCCCACTCTCTTCTGGCTTGTAGAGTTTCTGCTGAGAGATCAACTGTTAGTCTGATGGGTTTCCCTCTGTGGGTAACCCGACCTTTCTTTCTGGCTGCCCTTACCATTTTTTCCTTCATTTCAATTTTGTTGAATCTGATAATTATGTGTCTTGGAGTTGCTCTTCTCGAGGAGCATCTTTTTGGCATTCTCTGTATTTCCTGAATTTGAATGTTGGCTTGCCTTGCTAGGTTGGGGAAGTTCTCCTGGATAATATCCTGCAGAGTGTTTTCCAACTTGGTTCCATTCTCCCCATCACTTTCAGGTACACCAGTCAGATATAGGTTTGGTCTTTTCACATAGTCCCATATTTCTTGGAGGCTTTGTTCATTTCTTTTATTCTTTTTTCTCTAAACTTCTCTTCTCGCTTCATTTCATTCATTTGATCTTCAATCACTGATACCCTTTCTTCCAGTTGATCTAATCGGCTACTGAGGCTTGTGCCTTCATCAAGTAGTTCTCGTGCCATGGCTTTCAGCTCCATCAGGTCATTTAATGACTTCTCTACACTGGTTATTCTAGTTAGCCATTCATCTAATCTTTTTTTAAGGTTTTTAACTTCTTTGCCATGGGTTCGAACTTCCTCCTTCAGCTTGGAGAAGTTTGATCGTCTGAAGCCTTCTCTCAACTCGTCAAAGTCATTCTCCATCCAGCTTTGTTCCGTTGCTGGCGAGGAGCTGCGTTCCTTTGGAGGGGAAGAGGTGCTCTGATTTTTAGAATTTTCAGCTTTTCTGCTCTGTTTTTTCCCCATCTTTGTGGTTTTATCTACCTTTGGTCTTTGATAATGGTGATGTACAGATGGGGTTTTGGTGTGGATGTCCTTTCTGTTTGTTAGTTTTCCTTCTAACAGTCAGGACCCTCAGCTGCAGGTCTGTTGGAGTTTGCTGGAGGTCCACTCCACACCCTGTTTGCCTGGGTATCAGCAGTGGAGGCTGCAGAACAGTGGATATTGGTGAACAGAAAATGTTTCTGCCTGATCGTTCTTCTGGAAGTTTTGTCTCAGAGGAGAACCCAGCCATGTGAGGTGTCAGTCTGCCCCTACTGGGGGGGACCTCCCAGTTAGGCTACTCGGGTGTCAGGGACCCACTTGAAGAGGCAGTCTGTCCATTCTCAGATCTCAAACTCTGTGCTGGGAGAACCACTACTCTCTTCAAATCTGTCAGACAGGGACATTTAATTCTGCAGAGGTTTCTGCTGCATTTTGTTCGGCTATGCCCTGCCCGCAGAGGTGGAGTCTGCAGAGGCAGACAGGTCTCCTTGAGCTGTGGTGGGCTCCACCCAGTTGGAGCTTCGAGGTCGCTTTGTTTCCCTACTCAAGCCACAGCAATGACGGGCGCCCCTCCTCCAGCCTCTCTGCCACCTTGCAGTTCAATCTCAGACTGCTGTGCTAGCAACAAGTGAGGCTCTGTGAGTGTAGGACCCTCTGAGCCAGGCACAGGACACAATCTCCTGGTGTGCCTTTTGCTAAGACCATTGGAAAAGCACAGTATTAGGGTGAGAGTGACCTGATTTTCCAGTTGCCATCAGTCACCCCTTCCCTTGGCTAGGAAAGGGAATTCCCTAATCCCTTGTGCTTCCCAGGTGAGACGATGCCTCGCCCTGCTTCAGCTCACACTCGGTGGGCTGCCCCCACTGTCCTGCCCCCAGTGTCCAAAAAGCACCTGTGGGATGAACCCAGTACCTCAGTTGGAAATGTAGTAATCACCCGTCTTCTGCATCGCTCACACTGGGAGCTGTAGACTGGAGCTGTTCCTATTCAGCCATCTTGGAACCGCCTCCCATAAATAATCTTTTTCACTCAAACTCATTATTTTCTTTCAAAACATTTTTTATTCATTTTCTTTTATATTTCACTTTGCTCCATTGCCTTAATTTTTCCTTCTATGTCACTATTTTATAAGTGTATTTTTAATCTGTTGCCATTGAAACACTTATTTTTATAATGATATTATTTTTGTCTTTTATGTATATACTGGTGTGCCACATAAATTTTTATTTCTTTCCACTGTCCCACTTTTCCCTGAGTCTTTAATCTGCTATCTTACTGAGGGAAGAGAGAGACCCTCTCATATTGTTTTATGTTGTTTTATACTCAGTATCTGTTTTTCTTTAAAAAAAAAAAAATAACAAGGAAGTGAAATCAAAGACAGGCAGCCCGGCTCCAGGCCCAAAACTGGACCTGGGCCTGCCTGGCCTAAACGTAGTGGTTAAAAATCAACTCATGACTTAGAAACCGATGTTATTCATAGATTTCAGACATTGTATAGAAGAACATTGTGAAACTCCCACCCTGTACTGTTTCTCTCTGACCACTGGTGCATGCAGCCCCTGTCACGTACCCCTTGCTTGCTCAAATCAATCACGACCCTTTCATGTGAAATCTTTAGTGTTGTGAGCCCTTAAAAGGGACATAAATTTTGCACTTGGAGAGCTTGGATTTTAAGGCAGTAGCTTGCTGATGCTCCCAACTGAATAAAGCCCTTCCTTCTACAACTCAGTGTCTGAGAGGTTTTGTCTGTGGCTTGTCCTGCTACATTAGTTCTTAGAGATAATTTGTTTTCCATTTATTTGATATAATACAAACTACAAATTTCACTTAACTACAATTCACTTAACTACATATTTCACTTATTTTATGCTATAATCTCTTTAGGAGGTTTCCAGTATGGTTTGCAAAATATCTTTCATGTGCTAAGCCCATTTTCACATTTTCAATGTATTTGACTAGGGCCCATTATATTTTGCTTTGTGTTTTTTTATTTAAACCTGAAAACTTTTCCTAGGTAAGCTTGTTGCCAAAGTTTGGTGTGTAGTTTAAAGAAGAAAGTAGAATAATGAGTTATGGTAATGAACAGATTAAGGAATAGGCAATTTAAATTTTAATCTGTTGTCGTTTTCTCATGAGCATCTCCCCTATAGTATGATGCCACTCTCAGGTAGCCAGAAGTGTCAAAGCGGGTCCACCTCTGGTTTTTAGGCCTTTTCATTTGCAAAAAGACACACACACTGTTTTAGTTTATTCTCACACGGCTACAGAGAACTGACCAAGACCAGGTAATTTATAAATAAAAGAGATTTAGCTGACTCATGGTTCCACATGGCTGGGGAAGCCTCAGGAAACTTACAATCATGGTAGGAGGCGAAGCAAGGACTTCTTCTTTTTTTTTTTTTTTTGAGATGGAGTCTTGCTCTGTCGCTCAGGCTGGAGTGCAGTGGCACAATCTCAGCTCAGTGCAAGCTCCACCTCTTGGGTTCACACCATTCTCCTGCCTCAGCCTCTCAAGTAGCTGGGACTATAGGCACTCGCCACCATGCCCAGCAAATTTGTTATATTTTTATTGAGATAGGGTTTCACCGTGTTTGTCAGGATGGTCTTGATCTCCTGACCTCGTGATCCTCCTGCCTTGGCCTCCCACAGTGCTGGGATTACAGGCGTGAACCACTGCGCCTGGCCAGCAAGGGCATTCATGTGGCAGCAGGAGAGAGAAGTGCAAGCAGGGGAAATGCCAGACATTTATAAAACCATCATATCTCATGAGAACTCACTCACTATCACCAGAACAGCATGGGGGAACCTGCTCCCATGTTCCAATCACCCACCAGCACCCTCCCTCAACACATGGGGATTATGGATATTACAATTCAAGATGATATTTGAGTGGAAACATATCACACACACACACACACACACACATACACACACACACATTCAGACTAGGTTGAGGGCTTATCTGAATTATTTTTATCTATATTCCAAAAATTTCAGGATAGATCTCACCATCACACAGGAGCCAGAATTTTACACAATATCATCAGAACTTGTTTGAAGTTGGAGGAACCTTGGCCCTGTTTGCCTCTGTGTGCTTTCCATTTTGGGTTGCTCTAGACTTTTATATTCCTCTCATTAAATTTGGCAGACAATGCTAGTTAACTATCTAATATCTGTTTTTCTTCATCTTCTTTCCTAACAGAAGAAGGTTTGATTTAGGACTGCCATGTGCCATAAGGGATGGGTGAAAATATCAGCCAGTTCTTGAAATAAAGTAAAAAAGTTATCTGATGGATGTGATCCAGGAATGATACTTGATATGGTTTGGCTGTGTCCCCACCCAAATCTCATCTCGAATTGTAGCTCTCATAATTCTCACCTGTTATGGGAGGGGCCTGGTGGGAGGTAATCCTGGGGATGGGTCTTTCCCATGCTGTTCTAGTGATAGTAAATAAATTTCACGAGATCTGATGTTTTTATAAAGGACAGTTCCCCTGCACATGGTCTCTTGCCTGCCACTATGTAAGATGTGACTTAGCTCCTCCTTCACCTTCTGCCATGATTGTGAGGCCTCCCCACAAACATGTGGAACTGTGAGTCCATTAAACCTCTTTTTCTTTATAAATTATCCACTCTTGGGTATGTCTTTATTATCAGTGTGAAAACGAACCATTCAGTAAATTAGTGCCAGGGAGTGGGGTTCTGCTGCAAAGATACCTGAAAATGTGGAAGTGACTTTGGAGCTGGGTGACAAGCAGAGATTGGAACAGTTTGGAGGACTCAGAAGAGAATAGAAAGATGTGGGAAAATTTGGAACTTCCTGGAGACTTGTTGAATGTTTTTAACCAAAATGCTGATAGTGATATGGACAATGAAGTCCAGGTTGAGGTGGTCTCAGATGGGGATAAGTAACTTGGTGGGAACTGGAATAAAAGGTGACTCTTGCTGTGTTTTAGCAAAGAGACTGATGACATTTTTCCCCTACCCTAGAGATTTATGGAACTTTGAGCTGGAGAGAGATAATTTAGGGTATCTGGCAGAAGAAATTTCTAAGCAGCAAAGCATTCAAGAGGTGACTTGGGCACTGTCAAAAGCATTCAGTTTTATGTTTTCACAAAGACACATTTTAGAATTGGAACTTATGTTTGAAAGGGAAACAGAATATAAAAGTTCAAAAAATTTGCAGCCTGACAATGCAATAGAAAAGAAAAACTCATTTTCTGAGAACAAATTCAAGAGGGTGCAGAAATTTGAACAAGTAATGAGGAGCCAAATGTTAATCACCAAAACAATGGGGAAAATATCTCCAGGACATGTCAAAGACCTTCACATCAGCCCTTCCCATCATGGGCCTGGAAGCCTAGGAGGAAAAAATGGTTTCATGGGCTGGGCCCAGGGCCCCTCTGGTCTGTGCAGCCTAGGGACTCAGTGCCCTGTGTTCCAGGTGCTCCAGCTGTGGCTAAAAGAAGCCAAGTTACAGCTCAGGCCATAGTTTCAGAGGGTGCAAGCCTCAAGCCTTGGTGGCTTACATGTGGTATTGGGCCTGTGGGTGCACTGAAGTCAAGAATTGAGGTTTGGAAACCTCCACCTAGATTTCAAAGGGTGTATGGAAATGCTTGGATGTTCAGGTAGAGGTGTGCTGCAGGGGCAGAACCCTCATGGAGAACCTCTGCTAGGGCAGTGCAGAAGGGAACTGTGCAGTGGGAGCCCCCACACAGAGTCTGGAGGCACTGCCTAGTAAAGCTGTGTGAAGAGGACCACTGTCTTCCAGACCCCAGAATAGTATATCCACTGACAGCTTGCACTGTGTGCCTGGAAAAGCTGTAGACACTTAACACCAGCACATGAAAGCAGCCAGGGAAAGAGCTTTACCCTGCAAAGCCACAGGAGCAGAGCTGGCCAAGACCATGGGAGCCCAACTACTGCATCAGCGTGACCTGGATGTAAGACATGGAGTCAAAGGAGATCATTTTGGAGCTTTCAGATATGACTGCCCTGCTGGATTTTGGACTTGCATGAGGCCTTTAGCCCTTTTGTTTTGACCAATTTCTCCCATTTGGAAGGGGTGTATTTACCAAACGCCTGTACCCCTATTGTGTCTAGAAAGTAACGAACTTGCTTTTGATTTTACAGGCTCATAGGCAGAAGTGACTGGCCCTGCCTCAGATGAGACATGGACTGTGGGCTTTTGAGTCAATGTTGAAATGAGTTAAGACTTTGAGGGACTGTCAGGAAGGCGTGATTGGTTTTGAAATGTGAGGATATGAGATTTAGGAGGGGGCAGGGGAGGAATAATATGGTTAGGCTGTTTCCCCACCCAAATCTCATCTTAAATTGTAGTTCCCATAATCCCTACATGTCATGGGTATGACCTGGTGGGAGGTAATTGAATCCTGGGGGTTGGCCTTTATCATGCTGTTCTAGTGATATTGAATAAGTCTCATGAGATTCAAAGGTTTTATGAAGGGGAGTTCCCCTACACATGGTCTCTTGCCTGCCACCACATAAGATGTGACTTAGCTTCTCCTTCACTTTCTGTTATACCTGTGAGGCCTCTTCAACTACGTGTAACTGAGTCCATTAAATCTCCTTTTCTTTATAAATTACCCAGTCTCAGGTATGTCTTTATTAGCAGCATAAAAACAGACTAATACAATATTATTTTTCCAAAATAACTGAAATATTGAGCGGGCCAGTGCCATAGCTCCTTAACCTTCAACCTGTTTTTGCCAGCAGGGGAGCAGCCATTTTGTGGGCATGACTGCATAACAGGAAAACAGAGAATGAATACCTGGGTTCCTGTGTCTTTTAATGGCTGTGTCTGCTCTGGCCTTGCTTTCTTCCTTGTTATAGTGGTTACAAGAGAAAAATAAGTCTTGTTTTATTAAGAGTCAGAAGTTGAATATCTGATATGTGGAAATCACAAAAATTCAATCTCACAAATTTTAAAAAAGAGGAAAGAAAAGAAAGGGAAAATATTTCACTTATTAGCTTTTACTTCCAAAATCTCTGAAATTCAGTCTTACTCGTTGTGTTGGGTGACAGTTTCATTCCTAAACAAATAACTATGCATAGGAGATAGGGGTTGGGGGAACCAGACTCTCGTTCTTACCTATGAAACAAAGAGGTAATCACTTTTACCTGGGAAATAGAGAATATAAATGAAAAACAAAGACAGAAAACAAAACAAAACAAAAAGCAGAGTATCATTACAAGGAACAAAGTAAATATATGTTTAGAAAGGCAAAACCACTCCCCAGGGTGAGGATATGTGTGTGTGTGTGTGTGTGTGTATGTGCGTGAGCGTGTGTGTGTGTGTGCGCGTATGTGTTGTCTGTGTGTGTGTGATATAATTAAGTTACTTTACTTAACTTCAGCTGACAAATATTGGCAGCAGCAAGGCTGTTTGCAATCCAAAGTTTCTCCTCTAACCTGTCACACGACAGGGTAGCTTTTGCTGTGATGGAATGTCTGCATAATTTCCAGCTTCTGCTTTAACAGAACTATTGTCAATCAAAGTTCAAGAGGTTACTACAACCAGCTTTTATACTCTGATCTGCTTGTTCAAAATAAGTTGGTTTTACTTTTTGGTCTGTGGCATATAGTTTAGAAAATCTAGTTCCTTATTGCATCTGGCCAAAGTCTGCTATACTCTTTCAACTCATCTATCTGTTCACCTATTGAGGTTGGAAGTATAGGTGCCTCCCTATTCTGGCTAAAATAAAGTTTGTTTTCTTAAGTGTTTTTTTTATTGTTATTTCTACTTATTGTTGTTTTTATTGTTACTGGTTCCAGTTAAGAAATGACAAGATGATTGCCCACCATCTTAAACCAAAGGATATCACATACTACCTATATTCATAAAAATACATACATTACTGCTGAATTTATATTCCAAATTTTGGATTGATTTATACTTAATATAAAAGTATAATTTTCTAAAATATAATGTTTTACCATACCAAATCTATCCTCAAACTATCAAAAGCAATTTTGTTAAAAGATAAAATCCAATATTCTTACCTTGCAATGCATGTATTTATCTAAGTAAATTAAATTACATTGTGTCTCCAGTTATACTCTGTGCTTCTTCAAGTTTATGCATGTGTCCAGGCTGTTTATTTTAATCTAAAATATCATTTTGGTCGATCAACAAAGTGTCAATATATATAGCCTGATATCATGGAAAATCCTCTTCCATTTACTCAACAGCCAAATATTATCATTTTGAATTTTTATGTTATTGTGCCATTTACCATATAATTTTCCATAATTTATGTATTTAAAGAATGCCATTTTTTATGTTGAAGTGTCTTACCTTCTCTACAAGATATTTATGTCTATAGGGAAAGCATCTTTTTATTTCTCATGAATGTTTGCAGGATAGCTTCTGTTCTAGCAGGTCTTCAGCAATTACTTGTTGAATTACATTTTCCAAATTAAGTTTTTTACAAATGTTGTTTTAAACAACTTCTATTTTGGTAGCAGAAAAAGAGAAAAAAACAAAAGGAATGCTGTTGCGCCAAGTAGCAATTTAAATTTCATCACTATAATTACTCTGAGGTTACAGAGACTAAATAAAATTTACCTAGAACAATTAAGAATTAATGTTACTGACATGCACTTGGGAGAGTAAGTAGATGATGATAGAAAATAGAATTTTTTAAATGGAAAGAAAAACCTCTATGACTTCTGTTTGATTCTCTGTCCTAATGACCTGGAACTTAGTCAAGAGTGAGTGATCAGAGCCTTGAAAACACAAAGGTGCAGCATATATGCCTCCATGAGAGAAATAATTTTTGAGCTATGTCTTCAAAATTTAAAACTCCTCCAGACCTCTTTTCCAGGTGCCTTTTCAGCGTTCTACACATTGTCTAAAGATACAGACGTGAAATGTCCACTGTTGTATGAATCTGGTGTCAAAACTAAGCTTATTCTGTTTCACTTGACAGATTGTTTATCCCTTTTCAATTTTCTATCTACCTTCTATTTTCAGACATATGTCCTAGATATCTAGTGCTGTATAGAAAACTCCAAAACTTAGTGGTATAAAACACGTTTTGTGCACAAATCTGTTGTCTGGGCTGGTGCCTGAGAGGGCTAGCTTGTTTCTGCTCTACTCTGTCACCCAGGGCAGCTTGAGGCCAGTGGTCCAGAATCATCTGAAATCTCATTTACTCACATGCTAGTACCTGGATGGAGAAGACTTGTCTGGACACTGGAATGGCTAGGAGTTCTTGGGCATCTCTCTTTATTTCTACTTGGGTTTCCCAGCATAGCAGCTTCAAGGTAGAAGGCATTGTTAAATGAATCCCCAGACTCTAAAGCATGTTTTCCAGGAGATAGAGAGAGTACCAAGAGGAATTTGATATGACTCAGCCTTGAAATTCACACAGTGTAGGTTTGTTCATATTCTGTGCTTTGGAGCAGTCACAAGCCCCTTCCCAAATTCAAAAGGAGAAAATATAGATCTCATTTCTCTCCAAAAGGAAATGCATTATTTGACTGAAAATACTGCTGTTGTCATTGCTGAAAAATCCAATCTGTCCCAGTAAGTCTACTTTTTCTCAGAAATTTGCACAAATGTATAGTTACTTATACTAGCATAACATTCCATAATTATTGATTATCCCTTAACAATTATCCTTTGATAATAAATGTTTTATTTATTTATGTTTTATTATTTTTAGGTACAAAAAGACCAAAAGATTCTATAATATATACCTATCGGATTGGCTCTCAAGGTGTTGATAATATAGTCATCATATTTTCTTCAGAGCTTTTATTTCCTCTCTTTCTCTCTCACTTTCACTCTTTCAGCTCTTCAACCTGTTCGATAAAACGTTATAGAAGAAGTTTCTGGTTTTGTCTTCCCAGTAGGATTATCCCCTCCTCTTTAATCCACCCCAGATTTATTTTCTGTATATGGAGTGATGTAAAAAAGTTGCATTTTTCCGCATGGACAAAAATCATCTCAGCACAATTAATCATATAATCTATCCTATCACTGATATTTTTACCCAGCTTCATTGAGATGTAACTTACATCATAATAAAGTTCATCAATTTTATATGTGCAATGTATGAGTACTGACAAATGCATTTTGTTATGTAACTATAAGAATACTTGTAATACAGACCATGTATATAACCCCCAAAAGTTCCCCTCTGCCACTTTTAGTGATTCCTCTCCTCAACCTCATCCCTGAGAAAGCAGTGACCGGTGTTCTGTTTGTGGTTTTTCTCTCTTTTAGAAATGCACATAAATAAAATAATAAAATGGGTATCATATAGTTCTGCTTCTTATACTTAACATAAATTGGCTGATACCCACCTATCTATATTTTTTCTCTGTACCAGTAGTTCATTCCTTTTTTCAATTGAGTTATTATTGAGTAGTTTTGATTGTATGGATATATAAATATATAAATAATACTTTTAAGCATTGTATATATTATATATTGCTTATATATAATATATAAGCATTATATATTTTTTCAAGCATTTATCAGTTGAACATTTGAGTTATATCCCATTGTTAACTATTATGAATAAAGATGATATTATAAATTGATATGGTTTGGCTGTGTCCCCACCCAAATCCCAACTTGAATAGTATCTCCCAGAATTCCCACATGTTGTGGGAGGGACCCAGGGGGAGGTAATTGAATCAAGTGGGCTGGTCTTTCCCGTGCTATTCTTGTGATTGTGAGCAAGTCTCAAAAGATCTGCTGGGTTTATCAGGGGTTTCTACTTTTGCTTCCTCCTCATTTTCTTTTCTTGCTGCCATGTAAGAAGTGCCTCTTGCCTCCTGCAATGATTCTGAGGCCTCCCCAGACATCTGTAAGTGTAAGTGCAATTAAACTTCTTTTTCTCTCCAGTCTCAGGTTTGTCTTTATTAGCAGCATGGAAATGGACTAATACAGTAAATTGGTACCAGGAGAGTGGGACACTGCTGAAAAAATACGTGAAAATGTAGAAGCAACTTGGGAACTGGGTAACAGGCAGAGTTTGAAACAGTTTGAAGGGCTCAGAAGAAGACAGAAAAATGTGGGAAAGTTTGGAACTTCCTTCAGACTTGTTGAATACCTTTTCCCGAAATGCTGACAGTGATATGGACAATAAAGTCCAGGCTGAGTTGATCTCAGATAGAGATGAGGAACTTGTTGGGAACTGGAGCAAAGGTGACTCTTGTTACGTTTTATCAAAGAGACTGAGAGCATTTTTCCCCTACCCTAGAGATTTGTGGAACTTTGAACTTGAGAAACATGATTTAGCAGAAGATGATCTGGCGGAAGAAATGTCTAAGCAGCCAAGCAATCAGAAGATGACTTAAGTACTGTTAAAAGCATTCAGTTTTATAAGGAGAGCAGAGCACAAAAGTTTGAAAAATTTACATCCTGACTATGCAATAGAAAAGAAAAACCCATTTTCTGGGGAGAAATTCAAGCCGGCTGCAGAAATTTGCATAAGTAGCAAGGAGCCTGTTGTTAATCCCCAAGACCAAGAGCACAACATATCCAGGCCATGTCAGAGACATTCACAGCAGCCCCTCCCATCACAGGCCCCAAGGCCCAGGAAAAAAAGGGTTTCGTGGACCAGGCGCTGAGTCCCTCTGTTGTGTGCAGCCGAGGGACTTGGTGCCCTGTGTCCCAGCTGCTCCAGTCGTGGCTGAAAGAGGCCAATGTACAGCTTGGGCTGTGGCTTTAGAGAGTGGAAGCCCCAAGCCTCGGCAACTTTCACGTGGTATTGAGCATGTGGGTGCACGGAAGTCAAGAACTGAGGTTTGGGAACCTACACCTAGATTTCAGAAGATAGATGGAAACACATGGATGTCCAGCCAAAAGTTTGCTGCAGGGGTGAGTCCTTCATGGAGAACCTCTGCTAGGGTAGTGCAGAAGGGAAATGTGGGGTCAGAGCCCCCACAGGGAGTCCTTACTGAGGCACTGTCTAGTGGAGGGCCACCGTCCTCAGAACCGAGAATAGTAGATCCACTCAGAGCTTGCACCGTGAGCCTGGAAAAGCCACAGACACTCAACACCACATCTTGAAAGCAGCCAGGAGGGAGGTTGTACCCTGCAAAGCCACAGGGGCAGAGCTGCCCAAGACCATGGGAATCCACCCGTTACATCAGCATGACCCAGATGTGAGACCTGGAGTCGAAGGAAATAATTATGGAGCTTTAAAATTTGACTGTCCAACTGGATTTTGGACTTGCATAGGCCCTGCAACCCCTTTGTTTTGGCAATTTCTCCAATTTGGAGTGGCTGTATTTACCCAATACTTGTACCTCCATTGTATATAGAAAGTAACTAGCTTGCTTTTGATTTTACAGGCCCATAGGCAGAAAGGATTTGTATTGTCTCAGGTGAAACTTTGGACTTTGTATTTTTGGGTTAATGCTGAAATGAGTTAAGGCTTTGGGAGACCATTGGGAAGGCATGATTGGTTTTGAAATGTGAGGATGAGAGATTTGGAGGAGCCAGAGGTGGAATTATATGGTTTGGCTGTGTCCCCATCCAAATCTCAACTTGCATTGTATCTCCCAGAATTCCCACGTGTTGTGGGAGGGACCCGGGGGAGGTATTTGAATCATGTGGGCTAGTCTTTCCTGTACTATTCTTGTGATACTGAATAAGTCTCACAATAAGTGAGAAGCTTCCTGAAGCCCTCACTAGAAGTGGATGCCATCACTATGCTTCATATAGTTTACAGGACAATGAGTTAAAAATACAAAAATAAACTTCTTTTCTTTGTATTAAAATTACCCAGCCTCAGGTACTCCTATGGAAACTCAAAATCGACTAATACACTATCTCTTCTTTTATTACTTCGGTAAATCAACATCATGTTTGGGCAGAATGATTGTAAAAATCTTTTCATCAGTGTCCTTGCTTCCATTTTTCCCTGTTCACAGTCTATTCTTACTACTGAATCTAGAGTGATTCTGTTAAAACATGTTAGAGCATACCCTTCATCTGCTCAAAATATTCTGATTTTAATTTGACTTATAAAAAAGTCATAGTATTGAAAATAACCTGAAAGATCCTAAAAAGTATTCCCTCTCTCATTCCATTACTCGTCGGTTCTTATTTCCGTTTCCTCTTCATTCTTCTCCCAAGTAACTCATTGATTTTCTTCATGCATACTGGGATACTCCTACTTTTGAGGTTTTTGCATTGCTGCTCCCTCAGCTTGAAATAATCTCTCCCCAGAACACCACACACTTCACTCTTTCTCCTCCTTTGGGTCTTTGTCAAAATATTATCTTCTCAGTAAAGCCCTTAATACCCACCTATTAAAAACTGAATCCCTACACTTCTGCAAACTTTTCCGTTTTATTTTTTCTGTAATTTTATTGTAATCTGATAACATAGATATTTTTACTTTATCTTTATTCATCTCGTCTCCAGTAAAAGAATACCATGAAATCAAAGTTTATTTTCCTTTTTTATTTACAATTATATCCGTGCTAAAAGCATTTCTGACATATAGGTAGCACAACATAAACACCTGTTAAATTAATGAATTAATGCACCTTCCTTAAGAAATAAAAAAAATAGTTTGAAAGGACAATTCATCCCTTCAACAAATATTTATTGAACATCTTCTAAATTTTTAGGAATTCAGAATCTCTGCTTTTAAATGGAAATCTCGGTTTATGCTACATTCCTATACTCTACCATATTCTATTCAATAAAAATACATTAGCACTTTATGGAATTTTTAACAATTTCAACAAAGAATAGAGTAATACTGAGGATTAATAAGTATGCTCTCAGACTTAAGCAAAGATAATTCTGTAAAGGGTTTTGGTTTTTGTCAAAAAGGGGCTAAAATTGACTTATGTAAATATAAGTGGTTGAAGAAAATAAACTAATATTCTGAAGATAAAATTATCTTGATGAGTAGTAGGCAAACAGAATTTGATAAGGGGACATTTCTCCATCTGTGTTTTGGGTGGAGTTAGCTTTGGCTTAGGGTAAAAGCAACAAAATTGTAGAGAACTCAAATACTTTTACTTCTGAAATCTTGAAATTCCTCCGCAGATGTGGAGGGCCCTGTCATTAAAGGAAAAACAGTGATACTAATTGTCCTTGCTGCTCCTAACCCTTGAAATACTTCGGTGACACATTTTTCTAAGGGCAAAGTGTAAAATTCTTAATAGGACTTAGAGAAGAATGCATGATCCAGCCACTGCTTACTGTTCTGAATTCATCTCTTCATCCTTCTTGTAATCAGTGCACTCTTAGTGAAAACGGTAACTCCAGATCTCCATGATCTTCTTTATGCTTTATCCCTGTCCTTGAATATGCTGTGGGATCTACCTGGAATGTTCCCCCACTTCTTAATCCTCTCTTTGCCTGGAGAACTCCTACTCATCCTCTTGTTCTCTGTCTAGATGTCACATTACCCTGTTTTCTCAAGATGCTGTGTGATTATCATTTCATACTAAACTTAACCCGAATACACACCTTAGTAATGTAAACCGGGGTTGCTTGTTTACATTTTCTCTTTCATTAGCATCCTGAAAGCAGAAACTGGATTTTGTTCACTTGACATATCCAGTATCAAGTACTGAGTGTAGCAATAAGTTGCTGCCCTGTAAATGTGTATTAAGTTAAATGAATACACCTTTCCCTTCTGCTTTCTCCTCTTTGTTACCATGAGAGTTTTTATATATACATATATAGGTATATGTAAAAAAAACTAACATATACATGTTTATGTGTATATATGTATATAAATATCTATATATGTATATACATGTTCATATATGTGTATATACATGTTTATGTATATATGTATATACGTTTATGTATGTGTATATACATGTTTATGTACATGTGTATATACATGTTTATGTATACGTGTATATACATGTTTATGTATACGTGTATATACATGTTTATGTATATATGTTTATATACACACACACACATACATGCACACACATATACATGAAAGTTAAACTCAGTACTAGACACTAGGTATGCTAAGCGAACAAGCTCTGACAGCTTCTGGGCTCTTCCTCTTTCCAGCCAGAGAGTGATAGCAGTTTTCTAATGTTGGTAATCTCTGGTAAACTACCCATGTTTGCTTTCTCACCTAGATAACTGACACTTAAAAAAACTCAGAGTGATTTCTGTTTTTATGAGCGGACCCTGTCAATAGTTGCTTTTACATAGTTTACTCATATTCCACAATACAGGGCATTGCTTATAGTTTTCAGTGAATAAATATTTAATGCTGATTATGTAAGAAATCATGACATGAGATAGATATATAAGATAAAAGACGAAGTAGTTCTGCTCTGGCATCCTCTCTGTTTTTCAGAACAAGCCTCAGCCCCTAACATTTCTTGCTTCCTCTGTGTTGATTGTATTTTCCGCCTGTGTTCACCTGGTTAACACCTACTCATTTATTCTAATATCAATTCAAGCACTTCCTCCTCAGACTGTGCCACACCCACAAGGGAGGCTTTTTATTTGCATCCTTTACAGTATTTTATACATGTCCATCGCATTAATTAGAACTGGTAATTATGTATTAACTTTTGAGAATATTTGGCTAACATCTGTTTCCTTCCCTAGAGTATATATTCTATAAAAGAAGGGTAGTGTTCTATTTACTCAATATTGTACCTCCAGATCACAGGACTGGCTTGATATCTAGCAAATATAAATTCTTGAATGAATGAAGAAATAAGTGAAGAAACATGAAGGATTTGCAGAATGCATGATTTTTAAGAAAACTAGATGCTAGGGTGAAAGTAAAGGAAATTATATGTATAAATTGGATTGAAAGGCAGGATTAAATTTGACATATTCATGTGTATATATAATTCAATCAGTAGTGAGAAGTATTGAAGTGTTTTGATGGTGGGAATTAGTGAAATTCTATTTGCATTTCAACAAAATCAGTGATAATAGTTTCAATTATTCATTGCTGAGAATCTCATAAGAACACAAAGACTATGAAATGGAATCAAAATAAATTTCCACTTGCTTCTCAATTTAATCATAAAGAGCAAATAAATCACTTTTTACTGTTTGTTTGTAAATTTATTACTCTATTCATTTTACGCTATATTGTTGACTTCACCTCAGCACCCCCCACCCCCACACTGTAATACATTAAACTGATGTCCTTAAGGAATGAACTGAAATGATTAGCAGAGTCCCTTTTCTGAGGTACATAAAACAGTAGTTGGACATTTTTTTAAATGTATGTTGTTTGGATTTTTTCAAAGGAATGTTACATCTTTCATTTCTGTAGTTGTTCTATTGTTCACAGAGGTTGGAACATAGAGAAAATGAGCATGTTAATTTCCTTAGTAACTTTGGACTTAGGATCTTGAACCATAATGTAACTTGTGTGTCTCTTCTGAAATAATAAAAGGAAAGATTTGCAACATGTTTAGCTAAAAAAAGGGAATAAACTACAATTCCATATGCTACTCTATGCCAATTAAATTAAAGCATCTAAGATATTCAATTGTTAGTCTAAAGATTTTGAAAACAATAAATTGCTGTTACATTGTTCCAATGGCAAGCAGGGCCAACTGCATAATTTCCTAGGTAGGCCCAGTGCCAAATGTAGTGTGACACTCTTTGTTCAAAGATCAGAAAAAAACATTTTGTAGTATGGTATTTATTTTCTTTCTTGCATGGTAAATATACGCTATTTAATGTTGAACTCTCCTGGGCACAGGGATACTCAGTTTGTACAGACCATCACAGGCATGCCCCGCAAATCCACACTTGGGGCAAGCACATCCTGATCTCAATTTCCCTATACCTCTGCTGAGTGCTTTGGGCTACAGTGGTCTTCGGGTATGAATGGAGAAGATGGTCACTAAGAACCTATTCTGGGTGGCAAATTGGTGTGAGGCAGAACCACACATATATACATATATAGGTATATCTGAAAGAAACTATATATTGGTATATGTAAAGAAACTAACATAAGCAGATGCCTTCAGCACATGCTCTGTTGTCCTATCAGACTTTGCTTACAAAACCAACTCAAAGATAAAATTTTTAAGCACTTCAAGATGGCCACTGGAGAGCATTAAGCCCCAGGTATGAGGTCCCACTCAGAGTTCAGGGTCCTGTGTCACTCCACTGGTTATTTACCCATTAAGTCAGGCATCATGGTAAGTGTAAGATTACAGCCTCAACTCAACTAACAAGTCATTCTATGTAAGAAACAGGACTGCCTAAGATCATCAATATAAGCCAGCCATGAGCTATACAAATTTGGATTTAAATGATTTCATTTTTACACATTTGAAAAACTCTGACTCATTCAAGTTTATACATTTGCCAAAATGTGATTATTCCTTCAGTTTGCTAGTAATGGGTTTGACCACCAACAGTAGCATGCTACAAGATTATTCCTAGTGGCATTTCAGTGGCTTCACCTCCAAAGCTCCAGATCAATTTGTACAATAAATTGGGAAAATGTGCTTATTTTTACCATGTACTCCCTAACATCCTTACACTTCCCTTGAGCATCCAAAGAGTGCTTTAGTGGAAAGTTTTTCAGTTCTACCTCAATAAATTACCTTGTTTCCAAACTGTCTCTTTCTCTTCTACACACCCTCATTAAAAAAATAAATTTCTAGTTCAGTTCCTACCTCCTGTCAGATAACTCACTAAATAGAATTTATATCTCAATTTTATTTCAATCATTCACTTCTGAGAACACTAAGAGAAGCTCAGAATCTTACAAATTTTGACAATGGTGACTCTAAGATCCCTGCAATAAAGATTATGCCACTGACAGATGCTAATAATGCTCTAAGAATAATATTAAAGAGGAAGAATCCAACTATATTCCCAGTGACACAAAATTACATAATAGAAGGACAATTTACTTCAGTGGTTAGTTTTATATCTTAAATATGTGTCTTTCTCTAAATAACCATGTGACCTTTGGCCTGAATTTTCTTTTTTGTAAAATGTTGTGATAGTTTAAAAGATTTATTCAAAATTGTCTTTTATTGGAAGCATGGTATTTTGTTTATATCTCTGGGAAGACAAAAGGTATTTGGGAGAAGCAGAGAATCACACGGTGGGAATACTCCAACATCTTAACACCAAGACCACAAGTAGGTGAAAGAAGGGTTGGTGAAAGAAGGACAAACATGAATGAGGAGTGTTTCTAGAAATGGGAAACATGATTTTTGGTACAATGCCATGGTGATAATTTCTTAGCCTAGGGTTCATGTTAGACTTAAAATATGCCCCAAATTCTAAGCAAAGTACTGTGTTTATGTCAAATTATTTTATGATTCTACCAGATTAGCAGAAAAACCAGTAATCAAAATATGATTTTAAATGCCAATAACTTGTATGGTTCCTACAGGCCATAGAAGGAACTTCAGGGTCATATGAGGCAATACATATCTTATTCTTTGCTTAGGAGCAGAAAATAGTCTGAAGCTGGTGAGTGAATAATTCATAGCAAGAGGTACAAGGTTGATGGGTTTATATTTTCCTGGAAACAAATCTAGTTTTGAAAAGTTACTTTTTTAAGCAAATAAATATGTAATTGGTAGACTATATAGTAAAAAACAATTGGAGTCATTAGATCCTAAATCCTCCTGTCACGGAGACACCAGAATTTGTGGACTTGTTAACTATCTGAGAATACATTCCCTAAAGCTTGTCTGATTCTCTGGCAGGATATTGGAATGTGTTCTGTTCTTTGGCAAAATTGCCAAATATACAAACCTTACCTTAGGAATTTTCCAATTCCTTTTTGATCTCCCAATAGGTTGCAAAAATTTTCACTTCTTTATATTCTTTTCATTCGGAAGTAAAAAGACATATTTCTGAAATATAACTTAGTTGAATGTTTTCAAATTTTAGAGTAAATGGTTGCAGTATTCCAAGGTTATGATGTTTTCCAGAAATACTTCATTAGTTTAAAGGTGCCTAAATTACATTATTATTGTATACTAACTTCCATAACAATGGATCAGTAAAATATCCCGTATGTTCATATTATATGTATCCTCTATCTGTGTAAGGATTTTGATCAGTAAAGACAAAATGAATGAAGGTTTTGGTAGAATGTACAAGGCATGTGTTTTTAGGACTCTCAGTAAGTCACCCATTCTACTGATTGTTTGGGCCAATCTTCAGAAGGAGACTTGGCCGGGTGCGGTGGCTCATAGCTGTAATCCCAGCACTTTGGGAGGCTGAGGTGGATCACTTGAGGCCAGGAGTTCAAGACTAGCCTGCCAATATAGTGAAACCCCGTCTCTACTAAAAATACAAAAAATTAGCCAGGCATGGGGACGCATGCCAGTAATGCCAGTTACTGAGGAGGCTGGGGCCCGAGAATCACTTGAACCCAGGTGGCTGTGGGGCAACAAAATGAAACTCGGTCTCAAAAAAAAAAAAAAAAAGAAGGTGATTTGATTTTCTGTATATTCTAGCACAGTAAAGTATGTGCTTATTAGTCAGACCTTTTTTTAATCGATGTAGAAAAATATCAAACTTCAGATCATAAACAGTAGTTGAAAGATAGGTCATTCATTTGTAATTTTTTTGTTTGCTTAAATCATAAGATGCATTGTATAATTACAATTTTTTTAAAGTACTGAATTTCCTTATTCCTCCGTTCAGCATAGGAATGCTTAAATATGAAGAAAACAACAATTCTTGGAAGGATAATTTAATTATATTACAGAACTAAGTTATGGAGGTATCAGCACAAAATACTATGTTCAGGTTCTTGGTAAAGTTCATGAGGTGAACTGATGACAATATAGGTGTTCAATACTTGTGCTACTTTTTTTCCTAAACTTAAGCCTAACCCTCATTCTAAGCCTATAGTGATGTGTTGATTAAATGACATGTAACACAGAGCAGCCTAAGTGGTATTTGAAATGAAACTGAGAAACTGTTTTTCTCCTTTAATCTTTTCTCTAGCCATTTGTATGTTTTCTAGGTTTCAAAACACTAGAGGATAAAAATTCTTAAATTTTACAAAACAGATAAAGTATGATTTGAAATTTTAAAAAAAACCATACATTTCCTGGAACTTCTTAGTTTAAATGTATATACTGTTATATATTAGCAATATCCTGGAATTATCATATAATGAAGGGCCTTCATAGGCATCAAAACCCAATTATTAATAACACTTAGACTTAATATCCTTTAGTGAATTGTATGAACCAGAATTTCTAGTGTGCCTTCAATTCTATACATTATTTGACCAGAATAAGAATTGCCATTATGAAAACAGAGTGGATTTACCTAGCAAGCACGGGTTCCATATTTGTATACAGTTGAAAAGCTGCATAAGAGTGGGCATTTTGGGTAATTTTTTTAAAAAAAAGAACACATGTGGATGAATGTTTTACTTCAAATACCATTATTTTCTTTCAGATGTGCTGAATCTGATCTTTGATACAGTGTCAAATTTCCTAACCTGTAATGCAGGGCATTTTTTTATATTAAATGGAAAAATGTGAATTAAAAATAAAATAAAACGTTATTTAATAAAATAAACCAGATACAAAATCTTGCCTTGTATTTACAGATAAATTTTAATGGAATATTTCATGGTCTAACACAAATATGAGACCCAATGACACTAAATCTTGTACAGCCTTTGGCTTACCCTGTGTAACAAAATCTGTTATTTAAAGTAGACTATAAAATACTTTATGGTAAGTGAACTTCCAAAGACACAAAGAAAATCCTCCATAAATTTAAAAGCTTATCTGAAATCCTTATTGGCAGAAGCTTAGGTTGGATATATGATTAATTGCATTATCTTAGGTAGCTGAAATATATAATACTGGTTAGAGTGTGAAGGTTAAAAAAAATAGGTTTAGGTATTTTTGCTTCTGTTCCTACTCAACATTAGTAAACACACATAAGTGAATGTAAAATTACCTTTACAGAGTTTTAAAATTTTGGCATTCTCAAGCAAATTTCCCTAAGTCAGCAACATTTTTTTTGACCCTTAGTCATCACTTTACAAGGTTCATATATTCCAAGGAATAACGATTAAATGTTGTACAAATAAGATAACATTTATTTTACTGATGCTTAATTTTTAAAACTTCCACTTAGAAATTTACAAAGAAAATGGGCATCATCGAGGAAAACTAAAATGGATGGATAATGTATGAAGTTGAAAAAAAGGTATTCAAAATAATGTGTTTGGCATAAAGAAGTATGTTTTGTACCATCGATTTAATGACCTGTCACTGGAAAAAAGAAAGTTCCATCTTTCAATGTCTGTTTTCAAGGTTAAGAAAATGTACTAAATGAATAGACAATTCAGTAATGTCCAACAGATAACTAAAATTCAAATTTTATTTTTCCATATTTATCAGACAATTTTTTTCTGACAAGACTTTACTGAAAGATGAAGTGCAAATGGGAACCCTGTAAAAATGTTTATAAGAGTTGTACATGACATATTTTAAGCGCCGCTAAGTACACATTGAATACTTTGTAAGTATATAGGCATATCAACATGCAAGTGTCATGTACCAAATATTACAATATGCATTTTGTTTTTTGAAAATGTTAATGACAAGAGTAGATTCAATAACTGTGTTTCTCTATTTTCTGTGCTTATATGGTTAATTTGTTGGATCTTCTTTATAGCACAGAATTTATTTTTTATGCTGTCATAAATATACCCTTCCAAAAGTTATGAATTTCATGTCATATAAATAGCACATTTTATTTTTGAAGCTACATTACTGGGAACACCTGCGTTTCTGGATACCGTTTTCAGAGATAAGTCTTTAAATTATTTTTAACATGGCAGACTTGTTCTAATGTTGGTTATGTTGAAATGTTTATGATAAAAATGGAGCTTTCTTGAGGGAATATTTTTTGTTTGAATGAAAAGCTGAACAACAAATTCACAAATATTGATGTGAATGCAATATGAAGAAAACAGGTCAGTAATCTCAAATTCATAAATCCTTGGGTGATGACTTAACTGCGTCATTGAATCTACAATAAGTACAGTAGGTACAGTTAAATAAATTTGTAAAAAGATTAAAATTGTGTACATTTATAAGGAGAAAGAGTACTAGCTTTGAAAAATTTCTAGATTATTTTTCTTTCTATTTATGAGATTTATTCCATACATTAAAAACACAGAGAAAAGCAAAAAGGATAGAGATATAACAATTCAGTTTACATTTCATAGTTTTTTAACCAATTGGTGACCACTGCCTTCAAACATCAATATTTTATTGCGTATGATTTTCACTATCAGTAAATATAAAGAGAAAAGTGTCTACTAGTATCATGTACACGAAAAAGCATCTGAAGAAAGAAAGCATTTGAGGTTTGACAGTACTGTTTGTAAGCGTAATGTTGCATTTCATACCGCACTTAAAAGTCCATGTAGTTACTGCTGCTTTGACCCTGGATGTGGGAAAAGTGCTTAAGTGCTGAGCCCTGGTAGGTTTTTGTTTTGCCCCTGCAATCTTCAAATATCTTTTAACTTTTCTTCTTTTGAAATATACAGTATATTTCGTAGGGGAAAATAGTGTTTTTTTTTTGTTTTTTTTGTTTTTTTTATATCTTTTTCACATTTGGGCCCATTCTCTCCAAAATAATCATACATTTCTTGACATATATATATAACTTGAGTTTCTTGAGTTATATATATATAACTTCTTGATATATATATGCATATAAAATATGTGAAGATCAACCAAATATTATTGATAACATAACCACATAACATAGAAACATCTTACTTTAAGCATATTTTAGAGATTAACCATTATAATTTGAGATATTCATGTTTTTATTTTTTCCTACAGAAGAATCTGTCATTTCTTTTAGGATAATTAAATTACATCATTGAAAAATTCTTAATATGTCTATGCAGACAAAATGAAGTGGGCATTTGTGGCAATACTGTGCATTATATGAGGATTATTTATTAATAAGGATGATTTTTAAAATACTTAAATTTGTCTCGTGCAGATAATACTACTTGGTAAAATAATTCATATACATGATTTTTACTTAAAACACAGCATGAATTTATAAGAAATTGTTACATTTTAAAAATTAAATATCAGATTGGATCGCAAAGTGTTGCCATTTTAATTATTTTTAAAAACCAATACAATTATATTAACATTGAAATATTAAATAGGCAGGAGAAGGACTATTCTTATAAAGTTATAATATTTTGCCTTTAGGAAAAGCTAATGATAGAAAAGGAAAAACAAATGCAGATTCATACACCATAGAATACACTGAAGAACTTGGCTTTTGAGATTTCCCAGGGGGTGGGGAGTGCACTGTTATAATAGTTCCATAAGAATGCTTCCTGGGATATCTGGTAAATAATTATTTCCTCTATTTATATTGAAGTATCATAGCCCATGTTAAAAGTGAGAGGTAGAAGGATTATTGTAAGTATGCATGGCAGAGAACTTACCAGCTATATCCAATAACTATTGCATTCAATATTAATAATCTCAATACATAAAAATGCTGATGATTTTAGAACCCATTGTTATATGTTGTCCCCTTTAACTCTCTTTATTATCTTGCTACTTTCAATCCATTGCCTTTGGAAGGGTATGAGTGCAAAGGGCTTGTTTGGGGGTAGAATAGAGAGAGAAAGGGAAAAAATGAATAGAAAAAGAAAAGATATTTTAAAATTCCCATTAAGATATAGTGACTTTAACTATTAAAACTACCCTATGTTCTTTCATTGAATACATTTGTACTTGCTACAATCTATGAAAACATGCACACATTTCAAACAAAATTGAAGAATTCCCAATTCAATGAGATATGAATCGAAATTTAAAACTCAGGTTATTTCTTTCTCTGCAATAACACCAAAAACTAATCCAAATAAAAATGTTACTGTGTCACATTAATAAGAAAAACTTAACTTGTCCTTGAATTAGTTGTATTTTTAATGAATGCTTTAGTATGTGAGAGGTGAAGATTAGCAACCTCTTGGATCTTGCTGAAGAATTCTTTAAAATCCCTTTGCATTAAGTATCCAGCAATAGAACTGCAGATATTGCACTGAGTATATTTCAATATTGCCAGTGTATATTTCAAAACAAATTCTATTATCTACACTAAGATTTCCTCTTTCCCAATATTCAAAATGCATATTATAATTACATGGGTTTCCAACATCCATACACAGCAAGTACAAGATACTTACATGTACGTACACTGTAGTTACCTATATTTTGCATAGTTTTTAGTGTGTACTTTGTGCCACTTAATAAAAAGCATTACTCAACAGTAATTCTCATTAGGTGTTTCATTTATTTGGCTGTGATTACTGCTTTTTTTTTGTTTTGTATTGTTTTATCAGAAATTACC